>NC_000001.11:241184121-241335636 GCF_000001405.40 Homo sapiens
TGAATGTCATTTATTCAGTGACTGGATTATTATTGCACTCAGTGATAATAAACATCCTGCCTAATTGATCAGCAGAAAAAAAAATGTATTGAGTGAAGTAGTCTAGGGATCATGACTCCACAATTATTCATTGAGCTCAAGAGCCAATAAAAACATGATTACCTAGCCACTCTGTTGACGACAGCAGAAAAATTATATTCATGTATTCATCTATTCATCATTTAAAAATAACCTGTAAGTACCTAACCACACATCAGGTTGGTATGACAAACAATGTGGAAACAGATGATTAAGTTATTCTCCAAAGGCATCTCATAGGTAATGATATGCAGGTTGAGCATCCCTAATTTGAAATTCCCAAATCGGAAATGCTCCAAAATCCAAAACTTTTTGAGTGCTGACATGAGGACACAAGTAGAAGGTTCCACTTTATTTCCTGTTTCACACATAAGTACTTAACACAAACTTTGTTTCATAAGGATGTAACACAAACTTCATTTCCATTTATTTAAAATATTGTATAAAATTATTTTCTGGCTATGTGGGTAAGGTGTATACAAAACATCAACAAATTTTGTGTTTGGATTTAGGCCCCATCCCCCAAGAAATCTCATTATGAACGTGCAAACATTCCAAAATCCAAAAAAAAACCCCGAATTCAAAACACTTTTGGTCTGAAGCATTTTGGATAACAGATAGGCAACCTGTACAATAGAATTTCAGGTTCCATGACAGAAATATATTTGAAGAGCTATAAAAGCTTGAATTAATCTACTGAGGAAAACAGCAGTTCATAGAAGTTTGACTGAGGAAGTAACCTTTGAATTGGACATTCTTAAGCAGAATGAAGGCAAAAGAAAATATTATGGAAGTGGACTTTTGCAGGAGGTAATATTCTAAAGTATGTCCACAACAGAAAAATCAGGTAAAGTTTATTCTTGTACATTCCTTAAATCATCCATGAAATATACATGAATTTGTGTGTATAACCTTATAGCATTTTTAACATTAAACTTTGAGAACCACTAGTCAGGTCTAAGGACATCACAAGAAACTGTCCACATGGTCTACGTATAAAGATCATTCTGCTTTTAAGATAACTTCTTAACAAGAAATAAACAGAAATTTCTATTGTTTCTATTTGTCTGAAGGGTTTACTCTATTTTATTTTAATATGAAATCTCTATGACCACCTAACAACAGAGGTTCAAAATTCATGAAGCAAAAACTGATAGAACTGAAAAGAGAAATAGAAAAATCCAAAGTGATGACTGGAGATTTCAATTTCAACCACAATTTCTCTGCAGTTAATAGAACAAATAAAAAATAGGTAAGGATATAGAAGACATGAACAACAGTACCAATCAAGTGGATCTAATGTCTATAGAATATTCTACTCAACAAGAACAGAATATACATTTTTTTCAAGTGCTTTTAGAACTTTCACCAAATTAGACCGTATTCTGAGCTATAAAACAAACTTTAACAAATCATGAAAACTAAAAATCATACTAATTATGTTTCCTGCCTGAAAGATCAAAATAGAGCTCAATTACAGAACAATAGCTGGAAGGTCCTCAAATGTTGTGAAATTTAAAAACATGTTTCTAAATAACCATAAGCCAAAGAAGAAGTAATGAAAAAATTAGAAAATATTTTGAATTAAATAAACACAAAACCACAACATATTAAGTATTGTGGTATGCATTCAAGACACAGCTTAAATGAAAATTAATACCACCAAATGCCTAAATTTTTAAAAGAGCATCTAAGTTTCCATCTTAATAAACTAGAGAAAGAAAAACAAATTAAACCCAAAACAAACAGAAGGAAAGAAATAACGAAGTTAACTGAAGATATCAGTAAAATTGAAAGCAAGAAAACAAACAAAACCAACGGGAAAATCAAAATCTGGTTCTGAGAAACAAATGAATAAAACTGACAAATTTCTAGCCAGATTGACCAAGATAAACAGAGAGAAGTTACAAATTATCAATATCAGGGAAAAAATGGGAAACATCACAAAGACAGCATCAATATTTAAGGAATAATAAAGGAATGTCACAAACTAGATACTTAACCACACTCTGACTCACTCAAAAACATTTTATGCTCACTCAAAAACCTGCTTATGAAAGTTTATAGAGGATTTATTCATAATTTCCCAAATCTGAAAACAATCCAAATATCCTTCACCTGGCAAACAGATAAACAAATACTGGTACATTCATAAAGTAACATAGTTTCACATTTTGATTAAGTCCAATTTATCAACTGATGCAAAAGACCACAAGAAACAACATCTAAGATTGTTTTTTTTCTAGCATTTTTACCTGATTGCTATGGCTCTTCTTCAAACTTCTTTTCCCTCAAATTACATTTCCTAACCATATATATATATATTTTTTTTTTTTTTTTTTGAGACGGAGTTTTGCTCTTGTTGCCAGGCTGGACTGCAATGGTGTGATCTCGGCTCACCACAACCTCCGCCTCCCAGGTTCAAACAATTCTCCTGCCTCAGCCTCCCAAGTAGCTGGGATTACAGGCATGCACCACTACACCCGGCTAATTTTTTTTTTATTTTTAGTAGAGACGGGGTTTCTCCATGTTGGTCAGGCTGGTCTCGAACTCCCAAACTCAGGTGATCCACCTACCTCGGCCTCCCAAAGTGCTGAGATTACAGGCGTGAGCCACCGCGCCCGGCCATCTAACATAATTCTTATCCAGTACTAGCATATGGCTATGACAATGGATTCAATGTTGGATAAGACAGAAATGTAAGCAGATGATGGGTCTTGAGGTCTTTTGCGTCAACTGTTCATTTGCCAAGTAACATGATTCACTCATATTATTCTCATAGAAACTTAAGCTCCCTTAATAACAAATCCTACATACTTCTCCAGAATGCCAAACGAGAATAGATTTTCTAGTTTAGAAATGAGAAAATTGTGACAATTTTTGAAGTACTGAAAAGGTTATAATCAGAGGAAAGGACCCAGTATAAACCTCTGTGATTTTTTTTTAAAGAAGGCAAAAAAGGAAAGGCAGATGTTGTGAAGGAGTGAAAAGAGAAAAAGGGAGAGTGTAGTGTTACATAAAATCTCAATTTAGGCTGAACATCCACCAAGATTCTACTGGAAATCAAGCATTTTACTCTCATTTCATTTCCCTAGGAATCCTGTGAAGTAGGTAATAGCTCTCCATTTATAGATGAGGAAAATTCAGTTTAGAGTGATAAATGACTTATTCAATGCTACATTGCTAGTTAAGTGAAGGAGGTAAGATTTACACTAAGAATTAGAGATTATACACTTTTTTTCAAGTGCCACTTTTGGGAGAAAAAATGATTAAATATCAGTATAAAAGTATTATTTTGAGGAAAGAAGGCTCCTTAAAAAGGTACTCCAGTTGTTTGGAATAATTGCAGTCTCGTTTCAGTCTCAGCTCTATATGCAGTACAGCTCAATAAAGCTCTAATATGCAGTACAGCTCAATAAAGGTGGAATGCCAAAGTTCTCATCTTTTAGCCTCATGGCTGTTGTCCCACTTAAGGGACACAGAATGGCTTTATAAAGAAATTAACATTAACCAAGTATATACTGCCACTTATCTCTCTTGCCTCATTTCTCAATAAAGAAACCTGAAAGTTACTTTCTATGGCTAGCTTCACCTTGAAGCATGTTTGTTTTATCTAATAAAGGAACTGTTTAGCTTAATTCCATTACTGATTTTGGTGTCAGATCACACGATATAAGCTAACAAAGATCTACTTCACTGATTGCATTGCAACATTATCTGAAAATAAAAGTGGGGTAGGAAGGGAAGGAGAAGGGAGAGATGAAGAGAGGATGGTAAATGGGTACAAACATAAAACTAAATAGAAGGAATAAGTTGTAGTGTCAGCAGAGTAGGGTAATGATAGTTAAAAATAATTTACTGTATATTTCAAAATATCTAGAAGATATTTAATGTTCCCAACACAAAGAAATGATAAATGTTTTGGGAGATGGATATCCAAATTACCATAACTTGATCATTACACATTGTATGCATGCCATCAAAATACCACAGGTACCCCATAAATATATACAATTATTATGTGTCAATAATGAAAAAAAGTTAGAGTTTTATATAACTTCTATTATAGTCCTTTTCTTTTATCCTCACACACACACACACACACACACACACAAAAAGAGACAGACCTTAAACAATTATACAGAAAGTTGTCTACAAGGATGTTAAGAGTAATAACCAATCTACTTTTTAAATAGTTGAGTGGGTTTTCAGAAAAAAAAGTATTCAATAAACAGGAAATATGTGCAAGAATAAAAAGAGAACCTTAATTATAATTATGTATTTCTTTTCAGCAGAGTGTTAAACTCTGGTAATAGAAAAAATATATTTTTTTCTTTTAATCCATGGACATTTTATTTACAAAATCTTATGATCATAGGTTTATTAATGATCCTCAGACGTTTTACTACAAAAAATGCTTGAGATTATAAACCACGACAGAAACAAATAAAACCACCTCATGATAGTCTTGGAACACTAAGAAAAAGTCCTAAGACTAATATTAATTGACTTCTATGGTCAATGGTTCTCTGACATTATTGTGTGACCTTAGGTAGTAAATTAGCCACTCCACAAATTTGTTTACTTATTTAGGAAGAGAAGTAGTAAGAATTCCTTTCCTATTACCACCTCAAATAATTATTGCCAAATTATATGAGGAAATACACACCAAAATACTTTGAAGGCTTCGAAATTCAGCAGAACTTCAAACTATCAACCAAACAATATACGAGTGCTCCAGTTCCTCTACATTCTCACCAACATTTGGTGTTGTCACTTTTGAATTTTTTTTTGAGACAGGGTCTCACTCTGTTGCTCAGGCTGGTGTTCAGTGGTGCAGTCATAGCTCACTGTGGTCTCAAATTCCTGGGCTCAAGCGATCCTCCCACCTCAGCCTCCCAAGTAACTGGGACTCCAGACACATGCCACCACACCTAGCTAATTTTATTTATTTGTTTATTTTTTTGTACAGACAAGAGTCTCGCTACATTGCCCAGGCTGAACTATTTTTATTTTACTGTTCTGATAGGTAGGTATGTAGTGATATATCATTGTGATTTTAATTGTTATTTCCCTAGGTGTTGGACATCTTTTTATGTGCTTATTTGCTATCTGTATAACTTTGGTAAAATGTTTATTTATATCTTTGCCCTTGGTCTAATTGTTTGCATTCTTACTGTTGTGTTAGAAGTTCTATAGTCTATATTCTAGATACTAGTCCTTTGTTAGATATGGGGTTTACCATTATTTTCTTCCGGTCTCTAGCTTGGCTTTTCATCCTTACTTAACAAAGTCTTTCACAGGGCAAAAGGTTTTAATTTTGATAAAGTCCAATTTATTCACTTTTTCTTTTATAAATCATGCTTTCGGTATCAAGTCTTAGAGCTATTTGCCTAGGACTAGATTCTGAATATTTTTTGCTTTTTCTTTACACTTTTTATAAAGTTTTACATTTTACATTTAAGTCCATGCTCCATTTTGAGTTAATATATTTAAAGTTTGTACAAGGTGTGAGACTTGAGGTTCATTTATTTTAGTCTATGGACATTTAATCGCTCTAGTATCATTTGTTGAAAGGTGATGTTTCCTTCATTGAATTGCTTTTGAATCTTTGTCCAAAAAATCAATTGGTCAGGCTGGGCGCGGTGGCTCACGTCTGTAATCCCAGCACTTTGGGAGGCCAAGGCGGGCGGATCACAAGGTCAGGAGATCGAGCCCACGGTGAAACCCCGTCTCTACTAAAAATACAAAAATTTAGCCGGGCGCGGTGGTGGGCACCTGTAGTCCCAGCTACTCGGGAGGCTGAGGCAGGAGAATGGCGTGAACCTGGGAGGCGGAGCTTGCAGTGAGCCGAGATGGCGCCACTGCACTCCAGCCTGGGCGACAGAGCAGACTCCGTCTCAAAAAAAAAAATCAACTGGTCCTATCTGTATGGGTATACTTCCACACCATCTATTGTGTTCCAAACTATCTATTCTGATTGCTAGTGGATTTATGTGTCTGTTCCACTGATAATCTTGATACTATAGTGACATAGTAAGTCTTGAAATGAGGCAGATTTATTTTTATCACATTATTTTTCTTTTCAAAATTGTTTTAGCTATTTTAGTTCCTTTGAATTTTCATATGAATTTTAAAATAATCTCAATATTTATAAAAATTTTGCTCATATTTTGATAAGAATTATGTTAAATCTGTATGTCAGTTTGTGAAGAACTGAGACTTTACTATGTCGAGTTTTCCAATCAGTAAAAATTGCATTTATGTCCATTAATTTACATTTTGTGTGCTTCCTTTGATTAGTACTGTAGTTTTCAGCACACAAGCTCTGTACATTTTGTAAGATTTACACCTAAATATTTACTTTAAAATGTTTCTGATTATTGTAAATGGTGTTATAATTTAAATTTTGATTTTCATGTGTTCATTGCTATGATAAATACAACAGATTTTTGTATGTTTATCTTCTATCTTATGAATTTGCTGAACTTATTTATCAGTTCTGTGGATGTTTTTGTAGATTTTTTTCATTTTCTATATAGACAATTATTCCATCTGAAAATGGTGACTGTTTTTTTTCCTTCCTGGTTTGTATGCCTTCCCCCAGCCCCATCTTATTGCATTAGCAATACCTTCCAGCACTATGTTGAATAAAAGTGGTGGAACCTGTTTCTAATTGAAGGGAAAAAGCTTTCAGGTTCTAGCCATTAAGTGTAATGTTAGCTGTAGTTTTCTTGCAGAGGGGATAGATGTTCTTTATCACGTTGTGAAAATTCTCCGCTATTGCCATTTTTTTTTTTTGCGACGGAGTCTTGCTCTGTCGCCAGGCTGGAGTGCAGTGGTGCGATCTTGGCTCACTGCAACCTCCGCCTCCTGGGTTTATGCCATTCTCCTGCCTCAGCCTCCCAAGTAGCTGGGACTACAGGTGCACGCCACCACATTCAGCTAATTTTTGTATTTTTGGTAGAGATGGGATTTCACCATGTTGGCCAGGATGGTCTCGATCTCTTGACCTTGTGATCCACCCTCCTTAGCCTCCCAAAGGGAGGGATTACAGGAGTGAGCCACCGTGCCCGGCCTCCACTATTGTTATTTTTATGAGAATTTTTTTATCATAAATGAGTATTTAATTTTTTTAAATGCTTTTTCTGAATTAGTTGATATGATCATGTGAGCCTTTTTTTCTTTAGCCTGTTAATACAATTAAACACATTGACTGATTTTCAAACAATGAATCATCCTTGCATTTCTAGAAGAAATCCCACTTTGATTATGATGTATAACTCTTTATATGTTGCTGAATTCTATGTGCTAATATTTTGTTAAAGACATTTTTATTTATATTTAGGAGATACATCGCTCTTTAGTTTCCTTTTTTGAACTGCCTTTGGTTTTGGTTCAAGGTAATACTACTTCATAAAATGATTTGAGAGGTATCTTCTACTCTTTTGTCTGGAAGAGATTGTGAATTGGTGTTAATTTTTCTTTAAGCTTTTGGTTGAATTCTCTGGTGAAATCATCTGGACCTAGATATTTCTTTTTGGGGAGTTTTAGATTATAAATTTAAGTTCCTTAATAGTCATAGGGCCATTCAAATTCTCGATTTCATGTTGGTTTACTTGTAATTTGTTTGGAATTGGCCTGCTTCATCTAAGTTGTCAAATTCATGTGTATAGAGTTGTTCATATGCGGGCAGGGGTGCCTCACTACCATCTAACAGAGATGTAAATTCAGGCTCCTTCCTGGGCTGCCTCTGTTATCACCCAGGTGAGGGTGTTTGGTCTCAACAGAGCCTCACAAAGGTCAAAGTCTACGTTTTCTACTCAGGCTTTGCTAACATGAGCAGAGGCGGGGCCAAACTTCTTTCTGTGGTGTTTGGCTGGAATAGAAAGGTTATTATCTAAAAGCTCCATATCTTGCCAGCCTGGCCCTTTCCTGATCATTTGGCTAGAGAAAACAGGTGTGTGTGTGTGTGTGTGTGTGTGTGTGTGTGTGTGTGTGTGTGTGTTTTGCTTTGATTTTGATTTGGCTTGGTTTTATTTTCTGTCTGCACGTGTGTGTGTGTGTGTGTGTGTGTGTGTGTGTGTTTGGTTTGCTTTGATTTTGATTTGGCTTGGTTTTATTTTCTGTCTGCACCTGTCCGCATTTCCAGGATTCTAGTTCTTTAGCATTAAGAACTCACTGCCATGTGGTTTTTCAGGTCCCAAAGGCCCCAGCTCAAATGTTTCTTTTCTCCACTTTTCAGAGTCCTTTATGTATATTTTATGTATAATGTTCAGAATTTTTACTTAGTGGGATGAAAAGGCAAAGAATGCCTACTTCAGCTTCTAGAAACAGAAGTCATCCAGGATTTAGTTTTAAATGAATTGGTCAAGATGAATTTCTGGTACATAAAATAGGCCTAGTCAAAACATGAATAATTTATCCATGAAACAAATTCCTTTTCGTGACATTTTTCCTTGGTGGGCCAATCTGCTATTCCCCATCAGAAAAGAGCCCAGGTGAGAGAAGAAGAAAATAGAAGAAAACAGAAAATCAGGAGGACTTTCTCTTTCTCACTCCTCACTTCATTCCTGCCTCACTCCCAAGGCAAGTTCAGAGCCCCACAGTACCAAGAGTTCAGGAAAATCCAAGGGCTGAATTCAACATCCATCTAGCCAGTAGAGATATTTTAAAAATCACACATATTATACTGACTTGAAAAAATATTTTCAGCACCTACTTTTTAAGTACTCTTATGCTAAACACAATGGAGAAAATTAAGGTACAAAGGCATAGCCTCTTTCAGAAAATCCATAAAACCTGTATCCAAAGAACTATAATAATGGGCAGGTTCTGAAGAATGACATAGAATGGGCCACACATCTCTAGGATAGGATTTAAAATGTCATTTAAATATAACACAAATGTTTGTATTGGGAACTCTAAATTGTCCTTGTCTACAGCCTTCTTCCTTCCCTTTCTTACAACCTATAAGATCAGACTTAAGTAAACTCCTAAGCTAATTTTGAATCATTTGTCCTCCCTAAGCCCATAATCACATGGCTAAGCCAAGAATTATTCAAACCTAATTCTCCCGCAAGACCTCATCCATTGCTCACTGCTCCTGAAGATGGTCTTGAGTATCCCCCTGGATCTGGGCCTCAGACTGTCTTTGCCACTCTCCTGTGTTACCACATGGAGTTGGTCCCCGCCATGTTTGGTCAGGTCTCTTAGAATGATAACTTCTAACATCATGGATCCTGAAAATTAGCTAATGTGATTTCCAACTACTGTGTCTCATCTAGCTGATATTATCAATCAATTCATCCTGCCTGAATTTATAACACCACATTTGGATATAGTGTTTAGTTGCTTAACATATGTTCAATAAGCATAAATTAAATACATATAGACAAATGGTCTAGAGCAGTCTTCATCATGCTTCTCCGGAAGGATCTAGAGTACTTATACAATTTGAGAAGATTGAGTTTCATACCAAGTAGGGACAGGGTCTGGAAACAGGCAGTACACAAACACTTGAATGTATGTTAAGACTGAGACTTCTGCTACAGAAAGTCAGAGGAAAGAATGTGACTTTCAGGTGAGATCAGCAAAGAAGGATTCCCTCTGCCACAAAATAACACCTTCTTTCCCAGAAACTCAGATTTCCTTTGATATAATTCACTATTAATTTTCACTCTAGGAGATGAAGCATCTGAATGAATGTTCCTGGAATATGCTTGGAACATGGGAATAAATCATGCTAGTTGATATGGAAGACAAACACAACACTCCAGCAATACTCTCTTAGGAATTCCCTCATCACCATTTAAATTGTTGATTTTCTGCTCTTCTGTAGAAATCTCTAGTTCTGGATGAACATAAGCACTGTCTATATTCGTTAGACAGCACAATACATATTAGTCTTTAATTTATTTCACCTACACCAAACCTAAATTTTTTCTTCTTCTAACTTTATGTCCTAATTTTCTTTACTTAATTTTGTCTACATTTTTGTCATCATTTTCTCTTAGATTTTTGTTCAGCTTTCCTTGAAACCCAATAAAAGCAAAAATTATATTGAGAAAAGACAAAATTTCACATCCCATATTCTACAGCTTGCTACCTCTGGGCACCAATGGACATTCAACTGAAATATAATTTTTTAAAGAATTTTATCAGTATAATAGACTCTTGGACTTGAATTATGAAGCCTAACAACTGGTGCTAAATCAGATGAAATTGTGAAGAAATGTCTGCAGTGTAGCTCTAACTAAAAGCTATATTCTAACAAGTCGGCGATGGAGCCTCCAACTTTCTCATGCCTCTGGATGGAATTTATTCCCTAAACTCAGTAAAGCCACTGACTTTCAGAAAATGAATAATCTAAAAAAACTGCAAAGGCAAGGCTTTTGTTCTTTAAAAAAAGAAATGAAGCTAACTTCTGCTTATGGCAATGGAGATCAGTTTATTTTGCACCAATTTCCTACTGAAAATAACTATAAAGGCTGAACAAAATGTCCAAAACCCATCTGTTTGAAGTCATCAGAGAGCCATCAAGGTAAAGAGGGGCTTCAGGGCAAATAATCTGACAGAGGCAAGCCAAGAGATGTTCACCCCCCAAAGCAGTTACTAAAGGCTTGGAGGTTGACAGGAGTATTTAAAAGTCGCACTGAGAAGGACAACACAAATTTGAGTTTAGTGCCTTCCAGGAATGAAAAATCCTTGGATAAAGACTTAGGATATCACTCTGCAATCTACAGGGCTTCACCCTGCAAGTGAGTGTAAACAGAAAATAGAACAAGCCTTATAAAGGTTTAAGAAAAGTTTTAGGTCAGCTCAAGTCCTAAAGGATTAAGGTGATTGGCATCTCACTTAGCTGCCTGGTAGAAGCAAGTTGAAGTCCCACCTGGAGAAAAACATTCACTGAAGCCTCAAAATGCCTTGCAAGTTTTCATCTAAAATGTATGACACTCAATGAAAAATTAATAGCATATTAAATAGATTTGACCAGCGGGGCGTGGTAGCTCACGCCTGTAATGCCAGCACTTTGGAAAGCTCAGGTGGGCGGATCACCTGAGGTCAGGAGTTCGAGACCAGCCTGGCCAATGTGGTGAAACCCCGTCTCTACTAAAAATACAAAAATTAGCTGGGCATGGTGGCGGGCACCTGTAATCCCAGCTACTCAGGAAGCTGAGGCAGAAGAATCACTCGAACCCGGGAGGCAGAGGGTGCAGTGAGCCGAGATCGCGCCATTGCACTCCAGCCTGGGTGAAAAGAGCAAGACTCCATCTAAAATAAATAAATAAATAAATAAATAAAGATTTGACCAGCTAACAAGAGGGAAAGAAAACCAGACAGTGCAAAATTATCCATGAGAAATGCAGTTGTTGTATTTATCTGATAGGACTTAAGATAACAGTGATTAAAATGTTTAAAAGATTAAATAAGGCAATACAATTCAGTGAAGAACAAAAAATTATAAAAACAAAGAAAATATAAATTCTAGAACTGAAATTAAGAACTTTACAGATAGATGTAACAATAAGACATACAGGACTATTGAAAAAATAGTGAATTGGAAGATAGGTCAGAAATAAATATTGAGAACAAAAGAGGGAGAAAAAATTACAGAAAATAAAGAAAAGAGCATGCAAAATTTATGGGACAGGTACAATGAAAAGATCTAATACACATGTAACTGAAATTTCAGTAAGACAATGAAAAGAAAAATGGGGCACAAGCAATATTTGAAAAGATAGTTGCTGAGGATTTTTCCAAACTGATCAAATACTTTATTCAAGAAATGCTATGAGCCTTAAGAAGAAAGAATACAAAGAAAACCACATAGCTAGATGCATCATAGTTAAATTTCTGAAAACCAAAGTCAAAGAGAAATCTTAAAAAAAGAAAGAGATAGAGAAAAAAGTGTATTAACTTCAAAGGGGGGACAATAAGAATGACAGCTAATAGCTGACTTCTTAATTGAAACAATGGAAGCCAGAAGACAGTAGAAAGATATCTTTAGAAAGGGGTGGGGGCAGAGGTCAACCTGTAATTATGTATCAGTATTAAGTGCAATACAAAAATTCACAAAATAAAAGCATTTTCACACAAATAAGAACTGAATGCACCAGCAGCAGATGAACAGAGAAAATACTAAAGGATATTCAAGAAGAAGTAAATTTGTACTAAAAAATGTGTAAAAAAAAACCCCATCTGTTTGAAGTCATCAGAGAGCATGGAGAAAAACATTCATTTAAGCCTCAAAATAGCATATTAAAAATATTTGACCAGCTAACAAGAGGGAAAGAAAAACCAGACAGTGCACACAAATATCCATGAGAAATGCAGTTATTGTATTTATCTGATAGGAACTTTAAGATAACAGTGATTAAAATATTTAAAAGATTAAATAAGGTGATACAATTTATTGAAGAACAAAAATTTGGCGATGCAGAAAGGAATGAAGAGTAACTAAAAGGAGTAAATATGTGGATAAACACAAGTGAATATTGACTATAAAACAATAATACTAAAGTCTTATGGATTCTTAAGTATTTAGAAAATTGTAACACATGAGAACATAAATTAGAGTATGGGTAAATGAGGCTAAAGTGTATTCTAACTTTTGCATTGAGTTGGTGTTGGTAAAAATAGTAATTTATGTTAGACTTGAATTTCAGGGATGTATTATATTTCATAAGCTAGGGTAAGCACTAATACAATGGTAAAAGAATGTGTATCTGACCAGCTAGTACTGGGGAGAAAGGGAAAAATAAATAATACTGAATCCATCCAAAAGAATGTAAAAAAAAAAAAAAAAGAACAAATAAGGAATATGCTGGGTTAATTAGAAAATAAATGTAAAGTTCTAGATTTTAAACTTAATATATCAATAACATTAAATGTAAATGGACTAAACACTCCAATTAAATAACAAACATTTTCAGGCTGGATTTAAAAAATAATTATATGACACAAGAGACTCACCTTAAATATAAGAATATAAAAAAGTTGAAACTAAAAATAGAAAATATATATACCATAAAAATACTAATCAAAGTATCTTTTTTTTTTTTTTTTTTTTTGAGACGGAGTCTCGCTCTGTCGCCCAGGCTGGAGTGCAGTGGCGGGATCTCGGCTCACTGCAAGCTCCGCCTCCCGGGTTCACGCCATTCTCCTGCCTCAGCCTCCCAAGTAGCTGGGACTACAGGCGCCCGCCACTACGCCCGGCTAATTTTTTGTATTTTTAGTAGAGACGGGGTTTCACCGTTTTAGCCGGGATGGTCTCGATCTCCTGACCTCGTGATCCGCCCGCCTCGGCCTCCCAAAGTGCTGGGATTACAGGCGTGAGCCACCGCGCCCGGCCTAATCAAAGTATCTTAATCTCAAAGTAGATGGTATAGCAAGAAGCACCACTAGAGATAAAGATCACTTTCCATAATGATAGAACAGTCAATCCATGAGGAAGACACATTTTAAAACTTGTGCACAGTTAATAAATAGTGTCAGAATATACAAAGGTAAATTATTAGAAGTAAAAGGAGATATATAAAAATTCAAAATTGTAGTGAGAGATTTCCATACATATACTTATTAACTGATGGACCAGGCAGAAAAAAACAATCAGTAAAGAGATAAAAGACCAAAAAAAAAAAAAAAGATTGCAAACTTGATCTAGTTGAAATATTCAAAACATTACTACTGTATAATAATATTCTTCCCAAATGCATAATTTACCAAAATTAAACATTATCTATCTATCTATCTATCTATCTGTCTACCTACCTACCTACCTACCTAGTTTCAAAGGTTTGGAAATGTGAAGTATATTTTCCAACCTAAATGGAGTTAACCTAGAAATGGGTAAGAAAAATAAGTAGAAAATATCATGGACTTGGAACATAGACTATTTTTCAATAATTCATGAGCAAGAGAAGAAATTACAAGAGAAATTTAAAAATAGTTTGAAATAATAATGATAATGTAACATCTCAATACTTGTAAGGTTCAGGTAAAGTCATGCTTAGAAAGAAATTTATATTTAATATATACATGAGACAAAGGCTGAAAAATCAACGATTAAGCACTAAACTCAAAAAATCAACAAAGAGCAAATTAAATGCAAATAAAGTGAAAACTAGAAAACAATAAAAAATAAGAGTGGAAATCAATATAACTGAAGCAAACACATAATAGAAGAATAACTAAGAAAAAAGGTGGTTCTTTGAAAAGGCTAATATAGTTGATGATAACTTGTCAATACCCTGATCATAAAAAAGGCAGAAAAAAATCCATAATGAACAATGAGATTATTACAGCTCACATAGGCATTAAAAAGGTAATAGAATATTTTGAATAGCTGTATGCCAATGCATTTGAAAATTGACATAAAATGAACAAATTTCTGAAAAAACACAAGCTAACTAAACTGACACAAGAAAACGTATCATTTCTAAAAATATGAATATTTCTATATTTGTGAAAGAAAATACATTTATAATTTTAAAACTTTTCATAGGAAAATCTATAACCTCAGTGTTGTTACTGGTAAATTTTACCAAACACATTTGGAAAAACAAAATACCAATCTTACGTTAAGTTCTTTCAGGAAACAGAAAAAACGTGGAACATTTTCCAGCTGTTTTTTTGAGGTTACCATAATCTTCATATCAAACCTGACAAGGACTTTACAAGAAAAATCAAACACCAATCATTGTCATAAACCCGTATGCAAAAATATTACAAATTTGTGCTAACCAAATCCATTAATATAGAAAAAAGATAATATACAACCAAACAGCCTAGTTCGGTTTATTCCAAGAATGGAAAATTGGCATAACATGTAAAATCAGTTAATGTAATTCACCATATGAAGAGAATAAAAGGAAACAATCATCTCAAGAAATGTAAAAAAAAGAAGTCATCTGATTATTTATCTGATTTATTTATAATAAAAGCCCTTAGCAAACAAAGAATAAAAAAAAAAGACTTTATTGGCCGGTCTCACGCCTGTAATCCCAGCACTTCGGGAGGCCGAGGCGGGCGGATCATGAAGTCAAGAGATCAAGACCATCCCAGCCAACATGGTGAAACCTCATCTGTACTAAAAAAAATACAAAAATTAGCTGGGTGTGGTGGCATGCCTATAGTCTCAGCTGCTTGGGAGGCTGAGGTTGCACTGAGCTGAGATTGCGCCACTGCACTCCAGCCTGGTGACAGAGTGAGACTGTCTCAAAAAAAAAAGGACTTTATTTATTTAGTAAACAGTATCTAGAAATAACTTCCAGCAAACATTATACAGAATGGTAAAATATTAAAAATTTTTCCTCTAAAATCAAGAACAAAGTAAAAAATGCCAGTGTTACTTACATTTGACATGTACAAGAGGTCCTAGTCAATGCAATAAGGCAAGAAAAAGCCAAAACATGTGAGGATTTTAATGGAATGAATGACAGAAGTCTAGTCCTCTTCCCTTTCAAAATAAGCTGTGGCTTCCAGAAAAAAAAAAAAAAGAGAAAGGATGATGGGAATGAAAACAACAGCAGATATCTACTATGTTTCTCTAGATGAAAATAAATATAGTTACTCTGTTTTTAGCTGACAACTAGTCAGTGTCAGGATATTGATGAACCTCAGTCCGTCAATCAGAAAAACTACTGCTATCATCACACAGAAGGGGTTAGAATTCAAGCTGTACTGCCTGCTAGCTGTAGGACCTTTGACAGGTCATATAGCATGTCTAGCATTTAGATCCTTCATCTGCAAAATGTGGGTGGCAGAAGTACTTGCTTCCTCTGCCTGTATGAAGATTAAATAAAATTATACAATGTAATAACCCTAACATATAAATACAAAATAAACGTTAGATGAATTTTACTGAAATTATTAGTAACAACTCCAAAGCCTTGGTTCCTTCAGTTAAGGCGACCACTGAAGTTAATCTCATGTGAAAATAAATTATACCCCAAATTTAACACAAACAACTATAACAGGTGATCTGGAACTGAAAATAATAACAAAAAATTAATGAAGCTTACATTAATGAGATATTTAAATATTACCTTACTTTTTTCAAAAAGTGTTCCTTTTCTCTCTCTTTCCCATGATTTTTTTAAAAAAAGCTTTTAATTGCTGCAAACCGGCAGAAAAATACTTATTTATATCTTAAAGGTACTGCTCAATGAATTTTCACAAACTAAACACGTCCATGTAACCAACACCCAGATCAAATTCTTCCCATGATTTGATCATTCAGAAAATCTTTGACAAAGAGGTTGACAAACTCAAGCTGGAGTCAGACAACCCAGATGCTAATTCTGGCTCTAATAGGGATGCACTGGTTGACTTAAATTAGCTCCTTCCCTACATCCTTTGCATCCTAATTTTTCTCATGTGGAAACTAAGAGCAACACATTCCCCTGCCCCTCCAACCTCTTGTTTCACAGTGGAGTTCCAGGACCATAACTGCAGGCAACCAAAACCGTCTTCCTAAAGCTCCCTCTCCTTTAGCTTCCATGAGTCTAGACCTTCCTGAATTTCATCCACTGCCCCCGGATTATTGCTTAGTTTAGTTTCTGTTCATCTTTGAATGAAGACATTTCCCAAGATTCTGTTCTGCCCCCAACTCTCCTCAGTTTCTCATTAAATTTCTCACTGCACTTTCTCATTCAATTCCTGGTTAGTTTCATCTGATCACCTCCATGTCCAGACTTCCAAGTGCAAAATCCAACCCTAATTTTTCTCCCCAACTCCAGTCCAAGATTTTCAACTACCTGCTGATATCTTCAAGTCCTGTTGATACATCAGTCCCAATCTATCAAAAGAGAAATCATCTTTCCTCCCCATACCTTCTCCCTATGTTATATTCTTTACTTTGATTACCACTTCTGGTCACCTCTGTAAGACACCTGGGAATCATCAGCTTTCTCTGGTTCACTTGCCAAATCTTGTTAATTCTACCACCCCAATATCCTTTGAAATGTCCCTTTGTCACTATGCCTACCCCACTTCTCTAATTCAGTTCATCTGCCTGAGGGATTTCAAGAGTTTCCTGACTGATCTGCTACTCATGGATCTAATTTCTGCAATGCATCTTTCATTCTCTAATGGACTTCTTTTCCTAAAGGTGTGTCAGATCATGAAAATTTCCTGCCTTTAGTCATCCTACATAAAAGCAGAATAAAGAACAAACTCCTTGGCCTGTCAACCTAAAAGGACGGTTCCTTTCCAGAACCATCCACCATGAAATAGCATCATACAAATTACACTGGAGCCTCACCAGAGTGTGCACTGTTCCTGCATTTCCATAAACCCATGATTTTCTAACTTTTTGCCTCTTCTGTACTCACCAAAGTGATATGTATCCTTAAATTTCTTCCCTGGCCTTCACAATCAGAATAAATTAGCCCTTCATTTCAGAACCAACACCACTTTTTTTTAATACATATATAAGAACTTAAAAATAAAACTACTTTTGTCTACTTTGTGTCAAGCATTTGAATAGGTACTTTATATGCTATAATTCATTTAATCCTCATTAGTTGAATCTTCACAGCAACTTTACATTTTAGAGATGAGAAACTTGGTCTAATTAAGGCTGAATGGTTCACCCGAGGTCTTACTAAAGTGAAGTAAACGTAGGAGCCAGGATCAGAATCCAAGACTTTGGGATTCCAAAGTCAATTTTCTTTATACTTCGCAAAATAATTTCTACAGCTAATTGTTTATATGTGTCTCCCTAAAAGACTGCAAGCTCTCAGCTGAGAATGTGAATAATCTATTTCAGCCCACTACCTCAACCCTGCAAACACACAGACACACACAGACACACACACACACACACACACACACACACACACACAGAGACACCCTAATTGGGTTACTTCCACAACAGTTTGACTCTGTAACTGTTGAGGAGGTGAATGAATAAATTATCAAGGTTCTTACATTAATACCTACTCAGATCTTATGATAGATATTAATGACAAAAGAGGTATTTCTGTACCTGTCTCTGTGGAACTTGCAAACACAGAAAAGAACAATAACAAAATAACATCAGTTGTAGCATTTACTAGTCCAGAAATAGCTCACCTATGAAACAAACACAATTTTAATTCATTTTCCCCATCCCCTAATAGGAAAATAGTTCTTTCTGTGGGGGCCAAGGGAAAACTTCCCTGTCACACTCTGAAGGTTCACTGAAAATCACTGACAAAAGGCAGATTAACAAGAGAAAAGGCATACAAATTCATTTGGTCATAGTTTTGCATGACACGGGAGCCTTCAGAATGAAGAGCCAAAGAGACAGGAGAAATTGTCCATTTTTATGCTTAGATTCAACAAAGGATGAACAGCTGTGTTGAAACACGATTGGGCAAAAAGGGAATGATCTAATGGTAACAGACTGAGTGGGGAAGCTCAGCAACGCCTGTCTGTTTAGATTTCTGGGCCTCTCTGAAGCTTTCCTTCCTTCTGGGTATGAGGCAGGCCCCTCTCTGGAATGCAGGTGTTATGACCTACAGTCAAACAAGTCAGATAAGTTCTTTACGGCTAGTTTTTATACAGAAGTGGGGAGGAGTGTAGGGGGCAGTTAGAGTAGTATTTTTAGGTTTTATGGCTGGCTTTAGGGGAAAGGGGTTCTGGCTTCTATGACCCGCCTTCAGGAAGGGGAATTCTAGTTTCTATGCCTAACCTTGGGGGAGAGTAAGAGGCCAGAGACAGGAGGGAACGAGGTCAGAGAAACATGCTTCTGAGTCCCTCATATTGGGATATCATTTTCTGAGCTTTAACATTTCTGTAAGAATAATGACAACTAATTTGAGGTGCAGCACTAAAAATAGAAGGAATCTAGCAGCTCTTGAGGGGTCCATCCTGAGTTGCTTTGTTCTGATCACTTAGCATGTGATCTTGCTACCTAGAAAATTATTTTACCTGTGGTTTTTCTCATTGAAACCCAGGCCATAAATTCCATCCTGCACTACCTTCCTTCCACTCGATCACATTTGCATTTTTTGGCTGCCACGAGACTTACCTTGAGTTCTGCTTCTTTTTTTATTTTTATTTTTGAGATGGAGTCTCGCTCTGTCACCAGGCTGGAGTGCAGCAGCGTGATCTCGGCTCACTGCAACTTCCACCTCCCAGGTTCAAGCGATTCTCCTGTCTCAGCCTCCCAAGTAGCTGGGACTACAGGTGCCCACCACCATGCCTGGCTAATTTTTGTATTTTTAGTAGAGACGGGTTTCACTGTGTTGGTCAGGATGGTCTCGATCTCCTGACCTTGTGATCTGCCCACCTCGGGCTCCCAAAGTGCTGGGATTACAGGTGTGAGCCACCGTGCCCGGCCTGAGTTCTGCTTCTTTCCAAGATAGATCCTCTGGTTTTCTGTTGATTCTGTGAGCACCAGGTACTCCAAAGAATATCATTTCAACAAACAGTTTTCTGTTTAAACCAATCAAAGTAAGATCCTATGGCTTGAAATTAAGAATCTTGCCTGACATAATCCCTGTCTCTTGATAAACACAAACAGGCAATCACCAAACCAGTGCCATAACTCCACAACTCAATTTTTAAAAATTAAAATATAATAAATCCCCTCTCTTTTCATTTATTCGTTCGTTCATGGCAGGTACATTTCTAGATAATGAAGATACAGTTATAAATTTTGATGGATTTTACAATTTTCATATCTTTGTTATTGGCAACCAAAGGGTATAACATGCACAGTCCAGACAAGGAAGTTAATCAGAAACAGTAAAAACTTATCTTCCCGAAATGATAACCTGAAGGTCAAATACAACAGGAGCTACTCTTGCCCTTTCAAATGGCCAACAATCTGAAGATATCAACTAAATGCCAAATATTACCAAAAGTAAATACTATAGGAGTTGCCCAGTTTGTTAGGTGAGAGTTTAAAGGAAACTTTAGAAAGAATGAGCCTGAAATGATGGGAGGAACACAGGTGTGTATAGAGAAGGAGGGATGGAACCATTTATGGTGAAATTTTCTCAGAAATGGCACAAAGAAAGGAGCTCAAGAATCACAGTCAACACCCAAGGAGGAGGGTAATTCATTGGATTGAAAGGATCCCAGAGGAATAAAAAGTTGTAGAAGAAAAGACCAAACTATTGCATTTGCTCACCAAGTTCTAGAGAATTATTTTATCCTCTAGGTCACAGAGATGGGCTGCAGGGGGTGGATAGATAAGATGTGGTGTGCAAGTTCTTAAAATATGTACTGCATATCATACATTTTAGGTGGGTATTGGACAATTTTCTTAGTGAATAAAGAGGAAATTCATTTAGCAAAAATCAAAATTAAGGTAACTCTAGCATTCTTTTTCCTTTCTCTCTGAAAAGGTAATAATTGTGATATCTGCCAATTTATAATAGAAATGTTTAAAAACAAAAGAATTAAACTTAGAGAGTTCTCCTTAAAAGTCAGACAAATTTATCAACAAAAGAGAAGAAACCATTGTCTCAAGTGTCTTTTTGTTGTTTCTTTATTCTTCTTATTTTCTGCAAAAAAAAAAAAGAATGAGCCTATGAAAAGCAATGTTAATGATGGCACACTCTGGGGTTTTCACTAATGTTTTAAATAGGCTTTACATAGAGCAGCAATTATGTGAGATGATATAGTTAAACAGTATCGATAATAAAATATTCCATTTGAGCACCTCAAAATACTTTGGACTAATTCATATTAGAACATCTTGCTATCAGAACTGTTGAGTTTAAAATAATATACACATATGTATATGTATACTCATATATTATATAAACACAGTTACACAAAAGTAAATTTATTTATTAATAGATTCATCCCTTTTTATCTATGGTCATAAAATTCAAGGATCAGTAATAGAATCCATAGATCCCCTAAATTCATTTGTGATTTTTTTTTTTTTTTTTTTGAGATGGAGTCTCACTCTGTCAACAGGCTAGAGTGCAGTGGCACCATCCTGGCTCACTGCAACCTCTGCCTCCTGGGTTCAAGCGATTCTCCTGCCTCAGCCTCCAGAGTAGCTGGAATTACACCACTATGCACACCACGCCCAGCTAATTTTTTTTTTTTTTTTCAGTAGAGACGGGGTTTCACCATGTTGGCCAGGATGGTCTCGATCTCTTGACCTCATGATCCACCCGCCTCGGCCTCCCAAAGTGCTGGGATTACAGGCATGAGCCACTGTAACCGACTGCATTTGTCATCATTTTTTAACATCTTTCTTATTCATAAACCAATTAGCTAGTGGGAAAAAATTAATTAGCATTTGTAGGATATACTTTTTTTTTTTTTGAGACAGAGTCTTGTTCTGTTGTCTAGGCTGGAGTGCACTGACACGACCTTGGCTCACTTCAGCCTCCACCCCCCAGGTTCAAGTGATTCTCCTACCTCAGCCTCCTGAACTACAGGCATGCAACCACCACACCCAGCTAATTTTTGTATTTTTGTATTTTTAGTAGAGACAGAGTTTCACCATCTTGCCCAGTCCAGTCTCGAACTCTAGACCTCAGGTGATCCACCCACCTCAGCCTCCCAAAGTGTTGGGATTACAGGCGTGAGCCACTGCACCTGGCCAGGATATACTATCTTGATTTTTTCCTAATCTTAACTTTAAAGATGCTCCTATGAATAATACTAATAAGGTCCCAGGTAATGAGAGAGAACAAAGGGTAAAGAGTCTTGGTAATTCCCAGGCTAGACAAATATTAATAGACCTATGGAGAGGTACAAGACAGCTGACTTGTTAGAACTGTGCAGTTTGTTACTGAAGCCAAAAATTTGGCAGTAATTTCTAGACAGTAATTTCGTAAGTGTTTTTTTTTTTTACATTTATGCCCCCATGTTTAACCCACTAGCAAATTCAGTTGACTCAGCCCCCAAAACACACCTGAGATAATCTATTTCTAGGCATCCCCATTATAATCACCCTGGTCCCATGGACCATTATTTCTGGCCTGAACTAATGCAACAGCTTCTTAATTGGTTTTGCTGTTGCCATTCTTACCCAGTTACGATCCATTTGCCCCATGACTTAAAGAATGAACTTTTTTTTTTTTTTTTTGAGACAGAGTTTCGCTCTGTCACCAGGCTGGGGTGCAGTGGCGCTCGGCTCACTGCAGCCTCCCCTTCCTGGGTTCAAGCTATTCTCCTCCCTCCGTCTCCTGAGTAGCTGGGATTACAGGTGCCCACCACCACACCTGGTTAATTTTTGTATTTTTAGTAAAGATGGGGTTTCACCATGTTGGCCAGGATGGTATCAATCTCTTGACCTCGTGATCTGCCCACCTCAGCCTCCCAAAGAATGAACTTTTAAATACTTAACCAGATGGCTTCATTCTTCTTTTAAAAGTTTCTCATTGGGTTCACATTGCTATCAGTAAATTAGGAACTTCTTACTTTGGCATACAACGTGAGAAGATGGAACTGCCATCTATGTGCCCAATCTTATTCTTTGTCACGGTCTTTTTCATGTACCATACTCCCAGCTGCCCTTCCTCAGTTCCTCAAACACACCAATCCCATTTCCTCCTTACGGCATTGGGACTAGCTCTCACATGATTTGAAACTCTCTTCCTGCTCACCTCTCCATGTTAACCCTAACTTAAATGTCACCCCCTTAGGCCATGGGAACACCCAATTTAACCTAATTCTTCAGCCACATTACATGGCTCACCTTTAATTCTCTCCATAGCACTTAGTGCTGTCTCAATTTACCTTCTTTCTTTCTCCCTCCCTCCCTCTCTCTCTCCTTTTCTTCCTTCTTTCTCTCTCTGGTTTTTTTTTTTTTTTTTTTTTTTTTTGAGATGGAGTCTCGCTCTGTTGCCCAGGCTGGAGTGCAGTGGTGCGATCTGGGCTCCCTGCAAGCTCCGCCTCCCGGGTTCACGCCATTCTCCTGCCTCAGCCTCCCGAGTAGCTGGGACTACAGGTGCCCACCACCACGCCCGGCTAATTTTTGTATTTTTAGTAGAGACGGGGTTTCACCGTGTTAGCCAGGTTGGTCTCAATCTCCCGACCTCGTGATCTGCCCGCCTCGGCCTCCCAAAGTCTCTTTGTTTCTTTCTTTCTCTCTCTCTCTTTCTTTCCCCTTTCCCTTCTAAAGATCAAGAATTATGCATGCTTTGTTCATCACTGTGCCAGGTATGGAGTATGCACTTTAAAATGCATATATATATATGCGTAAATATACAGCTATGTACATATAGTTTACATTTTGATATCATGCAGACCGATAGCTATGAAATCTGATTATTCATTCAGTGAAGGTTTACTAAACACCTATATATTCCAGGCACTGGAATATGAGACAGACAAGACTACTGTCTTCATGCAGCCCACATTTAGCTCAGGGAGACAGAGAACTAACAAACAAATGAACAAACAAAAGAAAATTTCAGGCTGTAATAACTGCTAGGAATAAAATTAAAAAGGTAATATCAAAGAAAGTTATAATGGACTTGTTCAAAAAGCTTCATTAACCAAACGCACCAAAAGAATCAATTGAAATGTTCAAGTAGAAGACATTTTGCAATTTTTAAATATCTTATTCTCCAAAATCTTCCACACGTTTGGAAGCAGTTGTCCATAAACTACCTTCGAATGAAACATCCACTAAATTACTGCCACTAGAAAAAGAAAAGACTGGCTCAATGCTCAAGATTAAAATGCAGGCTGACACTTTCTGCTTTACTTGTTTTGGGGTTGTGTGGAGAAATGCTGACATCTTTGCCTTTTTTCTTTGAGATGGAATCTCCCTCTGTCACCCAGGCTGGAGTGCAATGGTACGATCTCCGCTCACTGCAACCTCTGCTGCCCAGGTTCAAGCGATTCTCCTTCCTCAGCCTCCTGAATAGCTGGGAATACAGGCGCCCGCCACTGTGCCTGGCTAATTTTTGTAGTTTTAGTAGAGATGGGAGTTTCACCATCCTGGCCAGGTGGTCTTGAACTCCTGACCTTGTGATCCACCTGCCTCATCCTCCCAAAGTGCTGGGATTACAGGCGTGAGCCACCGCGCCTGGACCATCTTTGCCTTTTTTGAAAATAGAAAGAGTAGTAATTCTTGCATTGAGAATATGACATAATCCCAACCCCAAACCATGAGTCTCATGGCCATGTCTAAGCCACGCCCTGACGATAGGGTTGGGATGACTACGCCAGGCTTAGTAATGCACAGGGACAGGAGGCATTTCGGAACCACACCACGACACTGCTGGCAAGAAAGATGGGAAAACGGCAGCAATTCTGTCTGCTGTGCTTTGTGTGTGTGTTCTACCTGGCTGATTGAATTTCCTCCCAACACCTACCTCAGATGTGTTGTCTAGGTGAAAATAAGCACTTCAATGAGCTGGTCTAATTTTAATCCTCAGCCCTTCCCAGTCAGCCCCGCCCCCATGTAGTTACCTCCGTCATGACAAAGAGGAACATCCCAGGTGCAAATCTAGCACAGTTTCCCTATTTCACCTGTGTCCCCCTCCCCATCTTCATGCCAGCATCAGAAACAAGAGTCCAAACATCCTCGGCAACACTACAGAAGCTGTTCAAACAATCCCTGTGTTCTTTCCAATTTGCCGACGTGGTCTGGCAAACAAAGAGATTTCTTTGTTTCTCTAAGAAACAAAGGTTTCGTAAGAGAAACCTTAAGAGATGATAAATACAATTAATAGAGAGATAGCCAGGCAAGGTAAGAGAATGCTTGACTGTTTTAACTGCTTATCCTGTGCTGTAACAGCTTACCTAAGAGATGTCAGAGGGACGGACAGAAACCTATCAGCGCTCAGGCAGAACAGGTGCTCCAGTGGAGGCAAGGACTGCGCCTGCATCTGTCCATGCAGAAACTATGTTCTCATGGATACAGGCTGATGATAGTAAATTCTGGTGGGCTATTTACTGGTGGAGTGTCTGTTCCCAAAGAAAATTAATTATTAAATCAGTGTCAACTTAGAGAGATGTCTCTAGTGGTCTGCCGCAGGGCACTGTCTGGGGCACTGTCTGAGGCACTGTCCACTCTGCCACTTTTAACAGTGCTTTGATGGCCTGGGGCACACAGATGACACACTTATCTATGTGTGATAACGCTCAGCCTAGAGGAACACAGAATGTATTGAATAAAGGGATCTGATTCAGATAAGTGGGCATAATGGAAATTTAGCAAGGTGATATTTAACAAACCGCGAGCTTACCTTAAAAATAAAAATGAAATCCCCATGAGAATGGATGGGGAGAATGTAATAAACATTAGTACAAATAAGACTTAGGAGTTTTAATTTACCATTAATAATAGTAATTGTAATAATGATAATAGTAGGTAGCACTTATCAAGAGTTTATCATGTACCAAGCACTGTTCTAATAATTTAAAACTTATCATTAGAGGCTGGGCATGGTGGCTCACATCTGTAATCCCAGCACTTTGGGAGGCTGAGGCAGGAGGATCACTTGAACCCAGGAGTTTGAGACCAGCCTGGGCAACATAGCAAAACCATGTAAGTATGAAAAATTTTAAAAATTAGCTGGGCAGCCTGGCATGCACCTGTAGTCCCAGCTACTCAGGAGGCTGAGGTGGGAGGATTGCTTGAGCCTGGGAGACTGAGGCTGCAGTGAGCTGTGTTCATGCCACTGCACTGCAGCGTGGGTGTCAGAGCCAGACCCTGTCTCCAAAATATAAAATAATAAAATAAAGAAAATTAAAATAAAATATATTATTAACTCATTTAATCTTGACAGAATCTTTAGAGTACCTTATTGGTATCTCCATTCTATAGGTGAAGAACAGATGTAAAGTAACTTAAAATGAATCAATAATGTAATGTCATTGTCAAAAAGTATTAATGTGATCTTAGAGAATAGGGTCCAGAACATGAGAATTGATAAAGCTTCTCTAACTGCACTTAAATTATTGTATTCTGTTTTGGGCAAAATGGAGCCTTGAGGAAAAAGGTTAGCATGACCAGGAATGCAACCATATATATATATATTTTTTCTTTTTGAGATGGAGTCTCGCCCTGTTGCCCAGGCTGGAGTGCAGTGGTGCTATCTTGGTTCACTGCAACCTCTGCCTGCCAGGTTCAAGTGATTCTCCTGCCTCAGTCTCCTGACTAGCTGGGCTTACAGGCTTATACCACTATGCCCCGGTAATTTTTGTATTTTTAGTAGAGATGGGGTTTCACCAAGTTGGCCAGGCTGGTCTCAAACTCCGGACCTCGTGATCCACCCACCTCGGCCTCCCAAAGTGCTGGGATTACAGGCGTGAGCCACCACGCCCGGCTCCAGGAATGCAACCATTTTTAAAGAGGAACAATGAATAGAAAAGTCTGATGGATTTATGGCTAAATAACAGAAAGAAGGGTAGAACATGAGAGTTTGAGTGAGGACTTCAAACCCTTCGTAAAGTTCAGTTTAAATAGCATGAAACATATGCCCTGCTGCTTTGGAGTGTGGCCATGAAAATAATAGCAAACACATTCCATGGAATATTTACTATGACTTTCCCAGATTACAAAGTACAAGGATTAGATGTGGAAAAGAATAAATAGAAGCTCAATAAAAAGCAAAGCTTTCTAGTGGGATTGCTTTGTGAGATGGGAATCATGCCTCACTGAGGATGTGCAGGCAGTGGCTGAAATCAGATGACACAGGGCGAAGGGACCTCCCCGGATCTCTACTCTGTGAGTCTATAAAGAATAAACTGCAGACACTATTTTGGTAATAGATCAACATAAGAAAATTTAAGGCTAGAGGTCAATTGTGGTAACCAAACTAAATGTCCTCTGAAAAGGCCTCCACCTGTACTTCTAAGTGTTTCCATAAAATTTAGTAAATATTGGCCAGGTGTGGGGCTCATGCCTGTAATCCCAGCACTTTGGGAGGACGAGAAGGATGGATCACCTGAGGTGGGGAGTTCAAAACCAGCCTGGCCAACATGGTAAAACCCCATCTCTACTAAAAATACAAAAATTAGCTGGGTGTGGTGGCGCTTGCCTGTAATCCCAGCTACTCGGGAGGCTGAGTCAGGAGAATCACTTGAACCCGGGAGGGGGAGGTTGCAGTGAGCTGAGATGGCGCCATTGCACTCCAGACCCTGTGTGTTTATTCACTAGGCTATCCCCTGCCCACCCAGACTCCATCATGAAATGAAAGGCAGGCATAGCACAATATTAGTCAGATAAGAGTCTCATATTATGTGGGAACCATGCCATTTTATTTCTGAAACAGCAACTTCATTGTGAGGCTTAGAAATCCCTGAGCTTTGTGGCAACTGAAGACCTGTCACCGTCACCGTAGCTGGAGTAGTGAGCAACACGAGGTGGTGGGACAAAAGCCATTCCTTTAAGTGTCCTCTGTACCTGACAAAAGAGGACATCACCAAAGACCTAGCATACAGTTGGTACTCATAAAGGTTGGCTGAATTGAGGCTAATTTTCTAGCTGCAGCACCAGTCCTGTTTATAAAAACCGGTCAAATCAATCTTCTACAAGGAATTGAACTTCGAGCACTTTGAAGTTTCTAAATGGAAGTCTGTATGTTTCATCAAGCTTAAAAAACAGTCCAAGGCATTGATGTAGCAAGGCGTTATGGTGTCATAGAAAGGAAACTGGACAAAGAGTTAAAACAAAAACGGATTTGAATCATGGTCTGTCTCGATGCCTCAGTTTCCTAATGTGGAAAACAATTTTATTTTTCACAAGATTCTAAAAATCCAATATAATTGCGTTAGGTGAAAAGCATTCTGTGTACGGTGACAAGTTATACAAGTATAAATAATCAATATCATTACTAACAATTACATTATTATTAATTGAATGAGTGTATTCACCCATTAATCATTACCAATCCATTATTACATGTGTATTATTAATGATTATTATTCAATTATTATATGTATTCATTTATTATACATGTAATAATTGAGTAATAAATTATTCAATTATAATTAATAAATAATAGTTAATTATTACATGTGTAATAATTGAATACATGTACTAATTGAGTAATAATAACAAATACACATGTAATAACTGGATACACTGAAGGAAGTGTATTCACTTATGGTTTATAAACATTCCAACATCAGATATGTAATATTTGCCTCTTTGTCATTTAGAATAATCTGTATCACTAGTCAAGTGTTTGTATCCAAAACCCAGGAACAGGGTCGACTTCGTGGGTGTGTCACCTGAGAGGTGACACACGGTTCCAAGCTTAAAGGGCCTTGTGCTTGGTTTAATGCTCTGCTGTTTCCATCCTGAAATTCTTATTAGCGTATGCATTTTTATTTTGTGCTGGACCTCATAAATTATGTAGCCAGTCCTGTGGTGTGAATAAAAGCTGAATCTGAAGCTGCCAGGGTAGGAGAGTTGGAGGAAAAGGTGGGCTTACAGGAGGAAGCTCCTAGCTGTCTGCACAGGAGGGTAGTACTCAGTTGCATCTGACTGCAGCACTGAATAAGAATCTCAGGGACCTTGGATATCATTCAGACCCATCTCTCATTTCAATTGAAGAAATCAAGAGTCCCAGATTTTCGGCCATTTGCCCGAGGTGCCCACCTCACCAGCAGGGTGTCCTCTACATTCTGTCTAATGAATGAATGGCCTGCCCTGGAACATAAGTAGGGCTTCCGCGTTGTTGTAGGACAGCTTTGTGTTCCAGATCACAGATGTCTCTTTCATAAGCCACACCTCCTCCCACTGCTGTGTGGGCCACAGCTCCGGTTAGATGATAACTCTTTGACTTTTTCTCAAAGTCCCTGAAATCAGTCACAGAGAAAATGGACTGATCCTTTACATCAATCTGAGTGTCCTTGTGCGTGTGTTTCATTTTGCTTTCTATTCATCCTCAATGATTGCCAACCTGCTTGTGAGATGTACCTGAGAATAACCTTCAGACAAACGCAGTGGGCTCTGCATTGATGGTGCTGATTCAGAACACATTTGGGGTGTTGTGTCATCTGTCTATTAGAATGCTTCCAAAGGATGACGACTCACTGATAGATAATGTTTTGTTTACAAGCATGTCCTTGGGTATGAGACTTTGTAGTGTCATGACTGACCGTAAATCTCACTGGCAGTAGCACAGCATATGAAACACCTTCTGCTCTAGTCATTACTTTATGTTCATCACAAACAAATCAGAACAAATTCTGAATGCGAATCTCCTTTCAAGTTAGCTGACTCAGGCTGTCGGAACTCATGTAAAAGCGAACCAAATATGACAGGAGGTGAAAGCTGGCCGTAGAACTGGAAACGGCAGAACGTCATTGAAGTCTGCCTAAGAACTAGTCAGCATCCCACCTGCTTGCTCACAGTCACACTCAACATCTCTGTGGAATTTTTAGTGCTCTTTTTTGTATTAGTCTTTTAGTCGTTACCCTAGTGACTCTGATATGCATTCCTAACTTATCAGTTTACTTTGAATTAACATTAGACCACTTGATATATAATGTAAGAACTTCTTACAGTGTAATTTCATGTACAGACTTCACAATCCTTTTGTTGTAGCTAAAGTTTACTTCTACCTAGATTATAAACTCCACAATACTTTGTCATTAATGTACTTTATCAGGTATGAAGATTCAGTTAATTTTAAATAATTTTTTAAAAAGAAAAATACTCTTTTTCACTCTGATGCCCAGGCTGGAGTGTAGCAGTGCAATCACTGCTCACTGCAGCTTTGACTTCCCAAGCTTAAGCGATCCTCCCACCTCAGCCTCCCAATTAGCTGGGACTACAGGTGTGTGCCACCATGCCTGGGTAATTTTTTCTACTTTTAGTAAAGACAGGGTCTCACTATGTTGCTCAGGCTGGTCTCAAACTCCTGGACTCAAGTAATCCTCCCCCCGGGCCTCCCAAAGTGCTGGAATTACAGGCACGAGCCACCATGCCCAGCAAGAAAAATAGCCTTTATATTTATCTATGTATTAACAATGTCTTTTACTTGCCTCTCCAGTAGATCTAATTTTCTATCTGGTATCATTTCCTTTCAGCCTGAAGACCCCCTCCTTGAGCATTTCTCATGTTATAGACCTGTCAGCAACAAATTCTCTCGGTTTTTATTTATCTTAATTTTTTTTATTATGCCTTCATTTTAAAAACATTATTTTCTTTAATATAGAATTCTAGACTGACAAGGTATTTTCAGCCCTAGAAACTTATCATTCCATGTTGCCTGGTCTCAATTATCCAATGACATGTCAATTGTATAAGCTAGTTTAAACAATTCTTGTCATTTTTATTCAATATATAATGTTTTTTTTTTCTTTGGCTGACTTTTAAATTTTTCTTTCAACCTTTGGACTTCAGCAGATCTGCTTAAGGTGTGGTTTTCTTTATTGACTGAGATTCTTGAATCTGTGGGCGACTGTTTTAGGCCAAATTTGGAAAATTTTCAGCCAGAATTTCTTCAACTATTTTTTTCTTCTTCATTTTCTCTCTTCTCTTCATCAAGGACTACAGATAAAAGTATATCAGATCACTCTATACTGTCCCTCAGATCATTGAGAATGTGTTCATTCTTAAAATCTTTTTTTAAATTTGTGACTCATTTTAGGTAATTTCTATTGATTCGTGACCAAATAAACTGCTTCTTTTGTTGTGTCTGGTCTGCTGTTAATCTCATCCAGTACGTTTTTTAAAGCTTCATCTATTATATATTTCAGTTCTTAGATTTACATTTGCTTTATTTTTAAATTTTTCTTATTTTTCTTGAAGTTCCCCAATTCTTTATCCTAACTATGGATACTATAACTTTAACCATTATATCTATTTTTTCCTATGGATTCTTTATGTGCTTATCATAGTTAATTTAGAGTACTTGTCTGCTAACTCCAATATCAGAAATATTTCTGTAAAATTATTTTTTCTTGACTATGTCTAATAATTTTTAGAGTGCCCTGGTCAAAATAACTTTTGATTGTATAGTGGCACTGTGGATGATTCATTGTAAAATTTTAGAATCCATTATCTCTCTTTGAAGAGTATTGAGTCTTGTACTAGCAGGCAATTAAATTACTAATGAATCACCCTGACTATGCTGAGACTTGATGTGTTTCATGAGGATATGTCTATTTTAGTTATGCCATCTCTCAGTCTTGATACATGGTATTTATTACTAGGAGTGGCCCTTATAGGTTTTCAGTGAAAAGTTCAACATAGTTATCAATGCCCTCTAACTTCACGGGACTCATACTTCAAACGCTGGCTCTTAGCAACAGGAAGTAGTTGAAATCTCTGTTAGGCTCTTTCAGCCTTCTGACTGTTGGTTTCCTCTAGGGCTCCTTGACTATTTCCCGAATAAATGAGCAGGTCAGGAGTCAACCAAGGACTTGAGAGGAGTTTACGTTCATATTGTGCAACCCCTCCTTCTATGTCTCTCTCTTTTCTAGTATTTCCTCCCCCAGTTTCCAGCTGCTCTGGCTGTTCTAAACTTCCTTTCTGACTCCTCAGGCAAATAGGACTTCAAAAATTTTTTTTGGCCTCAGTTCTAGCCACCCAAGAGATATTATTCGGGAAGTCCTCGTAGGGGAAAAAAACAGTGTGTATCTTAACCAATGTCATTCCCTTGTTTGAAGCGTTAAATGCCCTCTAATTCCATCTGCATTTGGTTGCTTTCATTAACTTGAAAATTCTCTTTCTATTTTTCCCCAGAGTTTATAATTGCTATCAGTAGAAGGCTTAATCTTATACAAGCACTTCTACCATCTCCAAGACCAGAGTGCTCCATTGGTTTAATGTGTAACCATGAGTGAACAAAATTGTTTTCAAAAAATAGACAAACCTCACTGAACCTCAATGAACACTGAAAAGTAAGAATAAAGGCCGGGCGCGGTGGCTCACGCCTGTCATCCCAGCACTTTGGGAGGCCGAGGCAGGAAGATCACGAGGTTAGGAGATCGAGACCATCCTGGCCAATATGGTGAAACCCCATCTCTATTAAAATATAAAAAAACGTAGCCGGGCGTGGTGGCATGTGCCTGTCATCCCAGCTACCTGGGAGGCTGAGGCAGGGGAACAGGCTGAACCTGGGAGGTAGAGGTTGTAGTGAGCCGAGATGGTGCCACTGCACTCCAGCCTGGGTGACAAAGCGAGACCCTGTCTCAGAAAAAAATAAATAAATAAAATAAAAATAAAAAAAGGAAGAAAAATGAGAATAAAAAGAGGTAAAACATGGCGTTTCATCTTATAAATTTAAAATATACCTGATTTGGTACTGAATGATTGTAACTAAGTTTTTAAACAGTGTTCATGGCGTGACTGTAAACCCAGCTCACTTTTAGAAAAACGTTTTTACCAACCCAAACAGTATCCTACTCAACACCAGTTATATTTGTGGGAAGAGAGATAGAGTTTTCTGGGGAAAGGCCCACTCTTCTAAGAAAATATATGGTTTTCTTTGCATTACTTTTCCTTCTTTATTCCCTATTCACGCTATTGAACATGTCTATCCCAACCCTTTTTTCTGGTCACATAATCCAGGTCTGACCACTTGGCCTTCTTCTTCTCAATGTAATTGATTTAGGAATGAGTTTGTGGCCCAAACAAATGGAAAGAGATATAATCCTGGGAATCTGAATGAAATAATTGGTAAGATAAAGTTTTCTTTTCACTGAGGTAGACAGTAGAATATAAACTTGGAACTGGTATGGCCATCTTGTCATCTCTTGAAGACAGCCTGCCTAAGAATGAAAATCAATGCTGAGAAATATAGGACAGAGTCCTGACAATGTCAGTTAAACCTGAATCCAGCAACTCTGATAGCTATCCCTGATTGCTTAGTTATTTGAGCCATTTCATTATTGTTAATTGCCCTTACAGCATTTTCAGCTGAGTTGGTGTTGTAGAATGAACATTTGTGTCCTACCACAAATTCATATGTTGAAGTTCTAACCTCCAGTGTGGCTGTATTTGGACACAGGGCCTTTAGGGAAGTAATGGAGGTTAAATGAGGTCATAGGGGTGGGGCCCTGATCCAATAGGATTGGTGTCCTTATAGGAAGAGCCACTGAGCTTGCTTTCTCTCTCCAGGTGCACATATTGAGGAAAGGCCATGTGAGGATATAGTGAGCAGGCCACCTGCTATGAGCCAGGAAGGGACCCCCTCACCAGAAACAGAATTTTCTGGCTCCTTGATTATGGACTTCTAGGTTTCAGAACTGTGAGAAAATAAATGTCTGTTGTTGAAGCTACCCAACCTGTGGTTTTTGCTGTGGCAGCTGAGCAGACTAATTCAGTTGGGGTCACTTAAAACTATGAGTCTCCAGTCATCCAGGAAGTAGGGGTGCAAAGGCAGATTTGTACTGTGACCCTGTCATGGCAATTCATTCTACTGGCAAAAATTTCCCTCAATTAAAACCCAAATGATTTCAAAACACCCCATAATAGGATCAGCAAGAGACTCCACCAAGACTGAAAATCCACTGTGCCAACAAAAGCCTTCTAAATGCACGTTTTAGACTTTCCTTTTACCTTTTCAAGTGGCTCACTGGCAAAAATCAAGGTTCTAATTAAATCTAAAGGGCTATCCAATCACACGGTTGGCACCAATTACTCATTTAACTATGTATGTGTTAAGCATAAGCTAATTGCCTTTCTCTCAAACCAGAGCCAGTTCAGATCAGGCCATTCAAGAGCATTTAAACTTGGCACAAGAGGGTAGCACTGAAAACTGACAATAAAGAATTCTCTCTTGCAGGAGAACCTTTCAGGAGGCTTTCAATCAATTTTTGCAAGTTCCAAAACTCAAAGAAGCAAAGCTAACTATGTAGCTGGTGTATTTCTTTCTAGATCTTGAAGCATTAATAAAAAGATGGACTCATCTGAGAATCAAATATCTGGTGAAACTATACATAAATAGATATATTTGTGTGTCTGTGTTCATGTGTGTGCATGTGGATATGTGTGTGTGTGTATAATTGCATGATGTTCTTCCTCACCTTCAAATTCTGACAGATTCTAAGGAGGAAGGGCACAGATGTGTTTCCTGCAAAAGAGCCCCGAGTATCTTTTTTCACCTCCCTTCCTTCCCTTTGTCCAGATGAGAATCTTTGTTTTAGGGGAAATGGAATTTAATATGTAAAATTTATTCTCAGTGAGTTTCACCAAAATAGGAACCATATCTCTAACCTTATATTATTATTATCTGTACAATACCTGTCAAACGGAGCCCCCAGTAAATGCTGAAAGCACTTCACATCCATTGGGAAGGTGAGTGCATTTCCCTAACGTATTTTAGAGTATAATTAACACACAGTGCCTAACAGAGAAAATCATTTTTGTGTGTTCAGCTAAACACTCAACTCCACATAAGTTGCATTTGATATCGGGTTCACTCGGAGAAATGGCTCTCACACTTGAGCCTGTGTCAGAATCACCTAGAGGGGCTGTTGAAACAGACTGCTGCTCTGGGTCCTTTCCCCTTCCCCTGGGTTTCTGACTCCTTAGACTTAAGTGGGGGGGTCCCAGAATTACAATTTTTGTTTGTTTGTTTTTTGAGACGGAGTCTCACACTGTCACCCAGGCTGGAGTGCAATGGCGCAATCTCGGCTCACCGCAACCTCCACCTCCCAGGTTCACGTGATTCTCCTGTCTCAGTCTCCCGAGTAGCTGGGATTACAGGCACACACCACCACACCTGGCTAATTTTTTTTTTGTATTTTTAGTAGAGATGGGGTTTCACTATGCTGGCAAGACTGGTCTTGAACTCCCATAATTAGAATGTTTAACAAGTTTTCTGGGGATGCTGCTGCTGCTGGACTGGGGAACCACACTTTGAGAACCATTGGCTAAGAAGCTATAGGACAAGAGAGGCAGCTTGCCAGCAGGAAAGGCATTAAGTGCTCTGCTTTCTGGGGGAGTTTTGCAGTAGTTCACCCACTGTCAGGAGCTACAAGGCTCACATCCAGCTGGTGTGAGGGCATCATGACTTAAAAGCTACATGCCTCACATCTCTTGTAATAACTTCATAGACATAGTGATGCGGTTTGGCTGTGTCCCCACCCAAATCTCATCTTGGATTTCCACATGTTGTGGGAGGGACTCAGTGGGAGGTAACTGAATCATGAGGGCAAGTTTTTCCCATGCTGTTCCTGTGGTAGTGAATAAGTCTCATTAGATCTGATGGTTTTAAAAAGAGGAGTTTCCCTGCACGAGCTCTCTCTCTTTGCCTGCTGCCATCCATATAAGACGTGACGTGATCCTCCTTGCCTTCTGCCATGATTGTGAGGATTTCCCAGTCACATGGAACTGTAAGTCCAATTAAACCTCTTTCTTTTGTAAATTGCCCAGCCTCAGGTGTGTCTTTATCAGCAGCATGAAAACAGACGAATACACAGAGCTTGCAGGGACCCCACTAGAGATGTGCCAGTTACCCGAGTCACAGTCTGAGATGGTCAGAGTTATGGCTTCCTTTCAGGTATTTACAGGTCACCCAGTACAGGAATGACACCCATTAGTACCAATCAGGGATCACTTTACAATGTTGCCTAGTGACAAAGTTGAAACATACCACCTTTGTATGTTTGCAGAGAAACAGAGCTAGAAAGATAAGATCAAATTTTCATGCAGAAGGGGAAAGAAAGCATTCCTTTGTTAAGCCTTTATTCACAAGGTACATATCTTTACTCACATTATGCCCCTATTTTAAAAGCTTAAGAAATGTAAACATTATGTCAAAAATTTTTCATTCTTGGTTTAGCTGAATCTCAAAGCCACCAGTTGGAAGGATCATGCCAATCAAGGAAGCAGATGGCTTGCTTTGGGCTTCTTCAACAAAATCACCTAGATCCTAAATTGCTGTTTCTGTGACAATCCATATTGTCTGTTTCTGTTGCACATGATACCACAGGATTTGCTAATCTCTAACCTAATTTGTAAATAGGAAGTAAATTTCTACTTCAGAGCTTCTATCATCTAGTTTTTCTTCACCTGACTGCTATATGGTCTGCTTCATTTTGTTATGTTGCTTACTTGAAAAGACCATGGAGAAAATGTATTTGTTATTTAAATAAATACCCAAATTTGCAACTCCAGATCTTAACTCTGCTAATAAAAGAAACTTTTAAAAGAAACAATCTTGGCCTAAGTAAGGAATTCTTACCCTTGTTACATAAACCTAGAGATCTAAAGAAGTAATTATTAGCCCTGGTTGCATTCACTTAAAGATCTTTTTAAAAATACTGACGCCTGAACCATACTGCAGGCCAATTAAATCACAATGTCTAGAGAGATAGGGTCCAGGCACAGAATGTTCTTAAAGCTCCCCAGATAATTCTAATGTAGAGCCAGCGTTAAGAACTTTTGAAACTAAAGTCTATCACTGAGAGAAAATTATTTTTCCTTCCTGTCACCCTTCCTCCCCTTCTCCTTTTTTTTAAGAAAGAAAATACTGGGAAAGAAATCCTAGGCTGTAATTATGTGGGTTGGTTACAGCTTTCTTTACAAACACTCCTGGGTTATCAGAAGAACTGCTCTAACCTTGGGGCAGGTGGACTCTTCCTATAATGACATGTAATTATTAGTATTATTAATACTTTTGCAATCATATTAATAATTAAGGTTCTTTTGCAATAAAAAAGAGACATGGGCCAGGCAGGTTGGCTCATGCCTATAATCCCAGCACTTTGGGAGGCTGATGCAGGAAGACTGGCTTGAGCTAAGAAGTTTGAGGCCGCAGTGAGCTATGTTTGCACCACTGCACTCCAGCCTGGGTGACAGACAGAGAGAGAGAGATGAAAGGAAGAAAGGAAAGGAAGAAAGGAAGAAAGGAAGGAAGGAAGAAGCAAGGAAGGAAGGAAGGAAGGAAGGAAGGAAGGAAGGAAGGAAGGAAGAGAGAGAGAAAGGAAGGAAGGAAGGAAGGAAGGAAGGAAGGAAAAGAAAGAAAGAAAGAAAGAGAGAGAGAGAGAAAGGAAGGAAGGAAGGAAGAAAGGAAGGAAGGAAGGAAGGAAGGGAGGGAAAGAAAGAAAGAAAGAAAAGAAAAAAGAAAACAAAAGAAGGAAGGAAGGGGAAAAAAGAAAGAGAGAAAGAAAGAGAAAGAAAGAAAAAGAGACATGAATCTAAGCTAAAAAATTAGACAAAGATTAGGTTCTGCACTTCAGTTTAAAAAAGAAGAAATAAGTACGCAAATCTATCATTTAATGAGAGCAAATATTTATGTCTCCATGTCTTAAAAATGCAGATGTGGCATAGACTGGCGAGATGCTCACCCACCTGTTTCCTTTCTTCCTGAGCATGTGCCTGAACATTTCCCAGCTTCCTTTGTCCATGGATATAGTGACGTGACTGAGAATAGTCAGTGGAATACGGGCAGATGTAAATATCACATCCAGAGCTGGTCAATGAAGCCTACCCATACATGACTGTGATAGTTACTTTTATGTGTCAGCTTGGCTGGGCGACAACGCCCAGATAAGTAGTTAAACATTATTCTGGACGTTTCTGTGAAGGTACTTTTGAATGAGATTAACATTCACATCAGTGGGCTTTGAATAAAACAGATTGCCTACAAGAATGTGCCTCATCCAATCAGTTAAAGGCCTGTATATAACAAAAGACTGACCACCCCCAACTGAAAAAAGAATTCTGTAGGAGATGGCCTTCGAACTTGAATGGAAACATCTACTCTTCTCTGGGTTTCCAAAGTTCTGGCCTATTCTATAAATTATAGACTTGCTAGCCTCCATAAACATAAGCCAATTCCTTAAAATAAATCTTTCTTTCCTTTCTCTCTCTCTCTCTCTTTATACACACACACATACATTTTATACTCACACATATACACTTTATACACACACACATAGACATACCCGTATTCTATTGGTTCTGTTTTTCTGGAGAACCCTGACTAATACAATGAATTTCTAGGAAGAACTCTTAAGAATGAAGAAAGAATTTGGGTTTCTTTGTTGGAAGTCCTCTTGCCAACCAGGGACATCCACATGGACTTAGCATGAATGGGAAATAAACTTTCATTGTGTTAAGCTACTGAAATTTGTGGTTGTGATTGTTATAGCTGCCAGCATTACTTGATCTAACTAATATAGCAGATGGTGAATGAGATGGTTGTTAATTTCCCTTTATCGCTGACATTCTAAAGCAGTGGTTCTCAAACTCAGCTGTGCATAAAAAAATCTTAAAGCTTTGAGAAAGTACTCATACTTGGTCTTTACCCCGAAATTACGATTTCTTTGGTTTCTGAGGTATAGCCCAGGCACTGGAATTTCTAAATTCTCTCCAGGTGATTCTAATATGTCAATAATTTGAAGAACTACTGTTATACAGGATGACTGAGACCAGAGTTAAAAGTTCATGGATAAGAGAAACCAAGAGGGTTCTGTTGGTGAAAGGCTTCATCTGGATGAATGGTATGATTTTCTGGCCTCAAAGCAGAGCTCTTGAGCTATATAATTATCGTTATTATTAATAGTACCAAGAGGATACATGCATTATCTTACTACCTTGCTAAATTCTCACAATAAAACTCTTCCATAAATATTATGATTCTCACATTTTAAATGAGAGAAGCAAAGCTCAAACAGAGATTAAGGTAACTTGCTCAAAGTCACACAGCTAAGGAGTAGAGCCCATGCTCCCAACTCTAACCTGTAATACCTCCCATTATCCTAAAGAAAATGCTATCCCACCCCCAGCCCCCCACCCCCTGACAGGCCCTGGTGTGTGATGTTCCCCTCCCTATGTCCATGTGTTCTCATTGTTTAACTCCCACTTATGGGTGAGAACATGCAGTGTTTGGTTTTCTGTTCTTGCAATAGTTTGCTGAGAATGACGGTTTCCAGCTTCATTCATGTCCCTGCAAAGGACATGAACTCATCCTTTTTGATGGCTGCATAGTATTCCAAGGTGTATATGTGGCACATTTTCTTTATCCAGTCTATTATTGATGGACATTTAAATAACATATAGTTTCCCAAGCCATTTAGCAGGAGAACCTGCTATAGATCGAGAACCACTATAATTGAGAACCACTGCTTTAGAATGTCAACGATAAAGGGAAATTAACAACCATCTCATTCAACGTCTGCTATGTTAGTTACATCAAGTAATGCTGGCAGCTATAACAGTCACAACCACAAATTTCAGTAGCTTAACACAATGGAAGTTTATTTCCCATTCATGCTAAGGCCATGTGGATGTCCCTGGTTGGCAAATGTCCTGATTTGCCAAGATTTGTCCTGATAAAGAAAATGTCCTGATCAAAATAAGTAAGAATCACACTGTGCAACTTGCTGCTCAGATACCTGAAATATTGCATTCAATTCCCAGAGTCCCAGTTTAAAGAAGAAGATAGTAAAATTGTGTTCAGAGAGGAGCAAGTAGGTTGTTGGAAAGCCTGGCAAGCACGAATAAGTGGAAGAGAAAGGAAGGGTTAGATCCCAGAAAGGCAATGCTAAAAAAGAAGGAATGATTAAAGAAAGAGAACATAATAGCGCATTCAAATATTGTAAAGTTTGTCACGTGAAAGAGGAATTAGCCTGTTCTCCCTTTGTCCAGAGGGTTAAATCAGGATCATAAATTAGACATTGCAAAAAAAAAAAAAGAAAGAAAATTCTGTTTGGTATAAAGAAGACCTTCTAATAATTAGAGCTTTTCTGAAAACTAGCAGGGTTGCTAGGATTTAATGAGAAAATATGTTCTGTAAATGCGTATAAAACACTGAGTATTTTTGTTGCTATTATCATGTAGGTGAGTGTTCCATTCATTGAAATGTGCAGGTACATACTGAAATGGTGGTTCTGCACAAGATAGGAATAAGTTAGATGGTCATTAAGGTCCATTCTAATCCTAAGATTTTATCCTCACATATCTTGGGTCCCTCCAAAAAAAAAAAAAAGTGTTTTATAAAATGTCTTGTCTAATGACTGGTTGACTGGTGACCAATATATATATATATACCATATATATATTTCTTTAATTTATTTTTTAATTATACTTTAAGTTCTGGGGTACATGTGCAGAACATGCAGTTTTGTTACATAGTTATACACGTGCCTTGGTGGTTTGCTACACCCATCAACTCGTCACCTACATTAAATAATTCTCCAATGCTATCCCACCTCCCAGCCCCCCACCCCTCAACAGGCCCTGGTGTGTGATGTTCCCCTCCCTATGTCCACGTGTTCTCATTGTTCAACTCCCACTTATGGGTGAGAACATGTAGTGTTTGGTTTTCTGTTCTTGTGATAGTTTGCTGAGAATGATGGCTTCCAGATGCATCCATGTCCCTGCAAAGGACATGAACTCATCCTTTTTGATGGCTGCATAGTATTCCAAGGTGTATATGTGGTACATTTTCTTTATCCAGTCTATTATTGATGGACATTTATATAACATATATTTTCCCAAGCCATTTCGCAGGATATGCAGTCTATTTCTTCCCACCATAAAAGTTAAAGAAAATCTACAGCAATAATTTGGTCAATTGTGGTTTACTGAAAACTTACTAGGAGGCTAACTTTGAGATATTCACTTTACTTGAATATAAATATCACGAAGTACATATAGTGGATAGAGTACTTCCTGAGACAGCACGAAGGCCCATGTCTGTCCCCTTTAGCTCCTCCCATAGTCAATCATTGTGTTGAGTTGTTCAGTCTGCATTGTCTCATCTTCTCCATGGCAAGCTTTTCTGAACAGGTCCACTACGCTTTGGTATTCTCTCCACAGTATAGCTCAGTGATTGCCACACCACAGATGCTCAACAAAAGTTTGATTTGGAGATGACCTAGACCCTACAAAAGTTGTCTGTGGTCCTGCACTCACAGCATGATAACTGAGGGATAATGTACAAGGAAAAATGTGTTTTTTTTTTCTTTTAAAAAAATTTTATATAAATGTAAGGGATACAAGTGTAGTTCTGTTACATGGATATATTGCCTAGTGATGAAGCCTGGGCTGTCAGTATACCCATCTCCCAAATAGTGGACATTGTATCCGTTAAGTAATTTCTCATTCCTCATCCCCCTTGTACCCTCCCACTTTTCCAAGTCTCCAATGACTATTATTCCACTCTCTGAATCCATATGTACACATTATTTCACTCCCACTTATAAGTGAGAACATGTGGTAAGCAAAATACATGTTAGATATATCTCTGTAATGAAAGGAAAAGTAAAAGAATCAGTCTTAAACTACTGAAATAATTTATGCATTTCTCCCACATGTGGCAAATATATCAACTCTCTTTAGGTATAATATACCTGACCTCATTGCTGATAGCATAAGAGCTTTAAACAAATACTTATTCAATACTTAGCTTTTTCTCTCATAAAATGGAACAAGATATACTAGGGTAGAGAGGACGCTTCTCACGTTCACTGCTGTATCCTCAGCACTTGGTACATAGTGTTTGCATCACAAATACTGGCTGGATGAATCAGTGAATGAATGAATGAATGGGGAGGCTATGGATGTGAAATGTTTGATATGCCTTTTAGAGAGATATTACAGGCCTTTGAGTGACTATGATATTTCCACCAAGCTTCTCTTTTGAGCATATAACTTAGTAAGTATCTTAAAGTTCATGTTGACAGAGAGGGTGAAAGTATGAATACTTTCTTGAGCTTGGTTATTTCTAACTTGTTAGGTACAGTTATCAACAGTGATAACAGTCCAGCCTGAGCTAGATATAAACAAGAACTGTATGCCAGCTTTCAAATTGCAGTTTCCATGATAAGCTGGCTCTGTTTTGCTGCCACTGAATAGAGTGCCATTTAGCAGTGGTGAGAGTAAGAAAAAGTTGATCCTTTGGTACTAAACAGTTGAGACCTACTCAAGGGAGCTGACATTTTCAACACCACTTGAAACTTGGGCTTGGAGCCAGGAGAAAGTTTACACACAATCAAGAGGGCACTGCTGCATCTGCAAAAGCAGTTTCCTGTAGCTAGATCGTAAACCAAGAGTGATGGAGATGAGAGCACCCAAGTTCATAAAAATTCCCTAATATGTTCATTTGTAAAAGAAGAAAACAACATTGGCCAAAGAAAGATGTTCTCCTAGAAAAAGGAAAAGAAAAAAAGGAAATCCATCTTACCCTCTAGGTGAAAAACACAAATAAAATGTCCGCGGGAATATTAAATGCTTTTCCAAAATGTGCAAAACAATAAGCTTCCTACTGTCCTGGTGTGCAACGTTTGAGAGGAGGCTGGAAGAAGGAGCATTCTTGTCTATGGGCACCTGCTTCTGCCATGCTGGAGAGAAGGCAAATCTCAAAGGGTCTGGTAGTTAGGATGATTGGATAGAGTGATATCTCTATCTCAGTCTAAAGGATTGGAAGTACTACACATTCTTCCTTCATACAGTCCACCTTTTCTGAGCACCTGTTAGCAGCCAGGCAGTGTAGTAGGAATGAGGAGATAATCAGTTAGCCAGACCACCCCTGCACTCATGGATCTTATACAAAAACAGAGGTAAAAGACAATCAACAATGGACTGATTCCATTACAATGATGGTGTTAGAAGAAGAAATAGTACTAGGAATTTACATAGTGGTGAAATCTGACCTACTTCATTCCATGAGCAGGTGACACCGAGCTGAACATTGATGCATAAGCAGAAACTGACAAAAGGAAGCCATTGCCACCATTGATAGGAATAAGAAATAACTATTTCCCAAATTCTTTATGTTATCAAATTATTCTCCACACAGGTGTTTTGGCTTTGCTTTTTTAAATTCTGAAGTCTGAAGTTTCAGAAACTACATTGTAATTGAAAATAGGTACTCCCCTCTTTTTTTCTCTGATGCTTTCATTAAAAATTCTCATCATCTTTTTATGTTACTTATTCGGACCTTAAAATGTATAAAAATATGTGTGGTTTTTGCTTTCAGAAGGCACACTTGGGATCTGAAGCAGCAATAATTATGAACTGACAATACGAAGGTTGGCTGGCTCTGATGAGGAACTCCAAGGACCTTAAAATTCACTTATGTCAAGAGGGGAAAAGGAGGAATCTACCATAGCAAAATAAGACCCTTGTACAGGATACACCCACGTGCACACGTGCACTGAGAGAAAATGAGAGTTGTAGGGGGCTGTAGGATCCTGACTGTCTCATGCCTACAGTGAGAGGTTCATAGAGATTAAAGAGATTGCTCAGGTTGTCCAGCTTGGAAGTGACAAAGGCTGGGAGTGCTGAATACTGGAATGTAATGGAATCCATCTACAGGTAAAAAGCCTATGGCAACAATTAGAGGGAGAGGTAAAGTCTCTGAGGCGGCAGGCAATTGGTACGGAGCCTGAAAGCCCAGGACAAAGTTTTATTTGCTTTCAAGAGCGAATAGGCTCACACCTATAATCCTAGCGCTTTGAGAGGCTCAGATGGGAGGATGGTTTGAATTCAGAAGTTCAAAGCCAGCCTGGGACACACAGTGAGACTCTGTCTCTACCAAAAAAAAAAAAAAAAAAATAGAACAATTAGCTGGGCATGGTGGTGTGCACCTGTAGTCCTAGAAGCTGAGATGGGAGGTTTGCTTGAGCCCAGGAGGCTGAGGCTGCAGAGAGTGAGCCATGATTGCTCCACTACATTACACCGTACTCCTAGGTAACACAGCAAGACCTTGTGTCACCTCCAGAAAAAAAGAAAAAGCCTTAACAAACAGAAGTGAAGGTACCCTGAGGGAATATTCTATTTGGCTGGGGACTCCTTATCATGATTTTACTTAGTGTTGCAGCATATTGTGTTTTCTGAAGGTAGGTGTTCCCCCTCAATCTTTCTCATCCCACCGGCCCTTCTCCAATGTGACCTTGCCATTCCTCCATCAAGAAGGGAACTCTAACTTGCCTCCCTCTTCAGATCTAGGCTACCTTATGAGTTGCTGGTAGCCAACAGGAGGTGGTGGTGAAAGTGACACTGAGTGACTTCTCAGGCTATGCCAGAAAAGCCATGGGGCTTGTGCTTGATTCTCTTGGGACACTGGCTCTGGGGAAGCCACTGACCATGGAGGTGACTGACTAGCCTGACGCTGCTATTTTGAAAAGGCCACATGTTGATGCTCTAGTCAATAGAGTATCAGGTGAGCCCAGCGTTCTGTCCACCCCGGCCACAATGCCAAAACACGTGAATGAGGAAATCATTGTAGAAGTGATCTCCTCCCAGCCATTTACGTTTCCACCTGAGCCCCTAGAAATCATGGAGCTGAAATAACATGCCCTGTCTAAATTGCTAACACACAGAAACGGTACGCACAACAAAATCACATAAATATAGATAAAATCCACTAGGTTAAAAGGAGTTTGTTACACATAAAAAAAATGACTGAAATAAATGTTATATTATCTATCTATAAAGACTACTATGGGCATTGAGCCCGCTGAACAGATAAGAAACCCAAGGTACAGAGAGATAAACCCAACTAGATGATAGAATCATAAGTAGAATCTTATAAATGCAGCAATAAAATGATCATAAAAGTACATGTGAGGACACTGAGTTTCATAGAAAAATGACTTGGATCCAGATGCACAGTTAATAAAGGCAGATCCAGGAAAAGAACTTAGATTTCCTGAAGAGTGCTGGAGTCTGAAGCTCTTTCCAAAATATTAGATCAAGCACGGGGTAGTTAAAAAAAAAAATCACATGCTTTGGCATCAGATCTGGGCTGATTATATCCCTGAGGTAAGTTTACTTTATGCCTGGTTGCCCCTATCTTTAAATAGAAAGAAAACAGAGAAAGAAAAATATGAATAAAACAATGAAATTTGGAACAGGCTTGTAGTTTAATAGGATCGTACTAACGTTAATTACCTGGTTTTGATTATTCAACTATGATTACATAAAATGCTAATAGCAGCAGCAGCTGAGTGAGGGGTAAATAGGAAACCTCTGCACTATTTTTGCAACTTTTTGTAAGTCTAAAATTAGATCAAAATAAAAAATTAAAAAAAAAAAAAAGAAGGAAAAACCATACCTAACTTGTGGGGTTTTAAAAAACAAATTTGGAAAATGCAATGCCTGGTACTTTAAAAAGATTTCAGATATAATTCTCCTCTGCTTCCCTCATTCCAACTTTCTGATAAAGCCAGAACAGATGGCCCACGGACTTCTGGTTCAGACCTTGCTCCCCAAGAAAAAGTCCCCTCATACTGCAGGTATATGCCAGCACTTTGCAGCTAGAACACCTCTCAGAAAATGAATCGAGGAAGCAGACGATGGGAAACTTCCCACGGTAGTGAAATCTCTAAACCTCTTCTCTGACCTTTGAATTCTTGGCAGCCACAAGCTACGTTCTTGCCAAGAGTCCTCACGCGTGTAGCTTCCACATCTCCTCGCCCTCATTTAGAGGGTAGACTTCCTCCACACTCCAGTCATCCGGTGCCATCTGTCTGTGGCCATGAATTAGCTGAAAGCTCTCCGAAACCGCCTTCTCAAGCTAATTGAGCTGCTCTAAATATTTGAAGAGACAGAAATGGGGTTATACCAGAGATGGTTTAATAAAATATTGAAAGAGCTTTTTTCTAACGGTGTAGTAGTCCACTTCCTTCTTTCCTCCCCCAGGGAAATATGCATCTTATCAGTTTATCATCCGAAATGAACTTGACTGGTCTGGGAAATCGGCCACACCGTCAGGGGAGAGTGAAGGAGAAACTTCCGGGAAATGATCAGAACTATTTTAAAATCATTTTGCTAGTGCAAATCTTGAACATTCATAAAACTTATCTATGAAGATAAAGACTGAACATAAAGAATAGCAATGGGCTTGGCCTCCTACCTTAAAACCATAGAGATTGACTGTGTTAAAATATATTGTTGAGGATCTGTAACAGGAAACAGATAACCTCGGAAGTTCAGCGTGAAGGGCTACTGCACCACAGTCAGCTTCTGGCTACAAGAGGAGGAGTCCATCAGTTCACAAAACCAATGACTTCCATCAATTTATATTTAAGTTTTTTTTTTTCACTGAATAATTCTGTCCTTCTAATATAAATCTGACTTTTCTAACCTTGCCTTATACTTCTTGGAAATTCCTACTTAATATGAGTCCATATAATCAGAAAACATGATGAATTTGGGGCACAAAAACTAATTTTTATTTATTTATTTATTTATTTGAGACAGAGTCTTACTCCATAGCCCAGGCTGAAGTGCAGTGGTGTGATCTCGGCTCACTGAAAACTCCGCCTCCCAGGTTCAAGTGATTCTTGTGCCTCAGCCTCCTGAGTAGCTGGGACTACAGGTGTGTGCCACCACGCCTGACTAATTTTTGTATTTTTAGTAGAGAGAGGGTTTCGCCATGTTAGTCAGTCTGGTCCTGAACTCCTGACCTCAACTGATCTGCCCACCTTAGCCTCCCAAAGTTCTGGGATTACTATCATGAGCCACCGCACCCGGCCAGGGCACAAAAACTAATTTTTCTACTAACAGTTGCTGGGTATGCCATGGGGCCCATCAACAATGGAGCCCACTTTGACTCACAGTTCTGTGCTCTGAGTGAGCAAAAACATTAACCTCAAGGCCTGTACAATGCCTGAGCATTTTCTGAATCATTAAGTACAATGACGCAGGGAAAGAGAGGACAGGAAGAAGGCTGGGACCAGGCCCCCTTCACCCTAGTGTTCTGTCCTAGGACCGTGAGTACAGCTGCAGTCTTAGGTGTGCTTGTAGATCGGGAGGAGGCAGGAAGCTTGGGAAGGAAACAGACACTTTGGTTGTCCCCATATTGCTTCTGGACCCCTCATGGTGCTCTAAGAAGGAGAGAGCAAATTTGTCTACTGAGAGGGACATTGTAGTGGACATCAAGATGCAAGTTAGTGCTTTATAAATTTATATTTCCTCATCTTTTCAAGTTTTACCTCTGATCATGATAACTCTTTTGGTTGTTGGTCGTACTCCCTCCTGTTTCCCTTGACTAGTCTAGAAATCCCTCCTCCCTAAGTTCTCCACCCTTTTCTCCTTTTCTTCAGGCCAAAATGTTCTCAAGTTGCCTTTGATGAAACTAGATCTGAAATGACTTCTAGTTGATTAATTTGTTCATACAATATACTGTGAAACTGGGCAAGAGATGATATAAACACTCCTTGAAGCTAGCTGGGGAGGACTCTGCCACTGTTTTTTCATTTTACAAATGAAAGAGCCTCTATTTATGGCTTTTGATGACATAGAATAGTCTATTTGATAAAAATTAATAGTACCCCCTCTAGTTCTAATAAAAAATTTATTTATTATAACAATATCTTTATAAATGTGGAGTGTCTTCCTCTTAATGATTTTCTGGAACTCTAGTGGTAAGATCACATTTTGATTAACCATGCCTGGCTAATTTTTGTATTTTTAGGAGACAGGGTTTTGCCATGTTGGGCAGGCTGGTCTCAAACTCTATAGGCACGCACCACCACGCCTGGCTAATTTTTGTATTTTTAGTAGAGACAGGGTTTTGCCATGTTGGGCAGGCTGGTCTCGAACTCCTGACCTCAAGCGATCCACCCACCTTGGTCTCTCAAAGTGCTGGGATTACAGGCGTGAGCCACCATGCCTGGCCTCTTTTCCCATTTTCTAATTAATCATTTGTCTTATTGAGTTGTAAGATCCCTCTGTGCATTCTGAATACATGTCTTTATCAGATAAATGATTTGCAAATATTTCCTCTCAAGATATGGCTTGGCTGTTTTCTTAACAGTATCTTTTGAAAAGCAAAAGGTTTTAATTTTGACAAAGTTCAGTTTATCAATGTTTCTTTTATAGATTGTGGTTTTGGTGTTACATCTAAAAACTCATTGCCTAACTCAAGATCAGAAAAATTTTCTACCATGTTTTCTTTTAGACGTTTTATAACTTTTGCTCCTCTGTTTAGTTCTATTATTCATTTTGAGGTAATTTTATGTATAGTGTAAGGTAAGGATTTAAATTCGCTGCTTTTTGTATGGATATATAATTGTCCCAGCACTATTTGTTTAGAAAACAATGCTTACCCCCTTTGAATTGCCTTTACACCTATGTTGAAAACCAACTGACCATACATATAAAGGCTTATTTTGGGATCTCTTAATTCTGTTCCATTGTTGTATATGTCTATTCTCTCTCTCTCTCTCTCTTTCTCTCTCTCTTTTGAGATGCCAGAGTGCAGTGGTGAGACAATAGCTCACTGCACCCTTGGACTCCTGGGCTTAAGTGATCCTCCCACTTCAGCCTCCTGAGTAGCTGGGACCACAGGCTTGAGACACTGTACTCAGCTAATTCAGCTAATTTTTAAATACATATATTTTTTTTTGGAGAGAAGGGATCTCATTTTATTGCCCAGGCTGGTCTCAAACTCCTGGCTTCAAGCAATCCTCCTGTCTCAGCCTCACAAAGTGTTGGGATTACTGGTGTGAGCCACTGCACTGGGCTTATATGTCTATTAAGCCAAAACCACATTGCCTGATAAATGTAGGCTGGTCATAAATTTTGAAATGAGTGGTGTAAATCCGCTAACTTTCTTCTTTTTCAAAGTTGCTTGGCTGTTCTAGGTCATTTCCATTTCCATATATATTTTAGGAGCAGTTTGTCAATTTCTGGAAAAAAAAAAAAAGGCCTGGGGGGAGCTTAGATAGGGATTGGGTTGAATCTGCAGATCCACTGCAGAACGACAGTCTTAACTACATAGAATCTTCCTATCTGTGAACACGTAATGTCTCTCCATTTCTGTAGATCTTTAATTTTTCACATCCATGTTTGTAGTTTTCAGTGTGTACTTCTTGCACTTCTTTTCTTACATTTATTCCTAAGTGCTTTGTACTTTTTGATGCTATTTTTATTGTTATATTGTCCATTGCTAGCATACAGGATTAAATTATTGTAGTTTTGTAGGTCATTGGCTTATATAAAAAAAATCTTATAATCTTTTTACAGGAATCATATGGTGACATGAAAAGGGTTCCATAATATAGTCCCCACCTGCTACTCCAGCATCACTCCCCAGCACCCGTAAGTCAGAATGTATGTTTCCCTAGCACTGAACTTCTAAAAATTGATACATGTTAGATGTCCATGTGATAATTTCATACATTTACATAATCAAATCAAGGTAACTTGGATATCCGTCACCTTAATTATTTATCATTTCTTTATGCTAGGGACATTCAAATTATTATCTTCTAGTTATTTTGAAATGTCCAATCAGCTAATATTAACTCTAGTAAATTTACTGATCTACGGAACACCAGGTGTTATGTCTTCTTTCAAGCTGTGTATCTGTACCCATTAATCAACTTCTCTTCCCTCCTCCACACTGCCATTCGCAGCCTCTGGTAGCCACCACACTACTCTCTATCTTCATGAGATCCACTCGCTAGCTCTCACAGTCTCACATATGACTGAAATCATGGGATATTTGTCTTTCTGTGCCTGACTCACTTCCCTTAACATAATGACCTCTAGTTCTATCCAAGTTGCTGCAAAGGACAGGATTTCATGCTTTTTTTATGGTTGGGTAATATTCCATTGTGTACATCTACCACATTTTTCTTATCCTTTCACCCATTGATGAACACTTAGATTGACTCCACATTTTGGCTATTGTGAGCACTGCTGCAAAGTACATGTGAGTGAGGATATCGCTTCAATATACTGATGTCATTTCTTTTGGATATATACTTAGTAGTGGGATTGCTGGATCATACGGTAGTTCTATTTTTTAGTTTAGTTTTTTTTTTTTTTTTTAAGGAAACTCCATACTGTTTTCCACAGTGGCTGTACTAATTTACATTCCTACTAGCAACGTATGAGGGTTCCCCTTTCTCCACATCCTCACCACCATCTGTCATTCCCTATCTTTTTATTTTAACTGGGATAAGATTATATCTCACTTTGGCTTTGATTTGCATTTCTTTAATCGTGAGCACTGAACTTTCGACAGTACCCTGCAACCTTATGATGTTTTTACTTAAATTTAATTTCAACCTCAAGTCTCAGTTTATGCATTACCTCATCCTAGAAGCCTTTCCCGTTTTCTCTCTACTTGCGCTACGCTGCATACACTGGGGAACGCATGTGTGCATGGACACTGTCATTTCTATACCAAATTTTAAACTATACTAAATTTTAACTAACTACTTACATGTTCATCTTGAGAAACCTGTGTCACCATGTATAGCAAAACCTGCCAGTTGTTTATCGATATCCATCTTCTCTTTCCAAAACAATAGAACCCCTAATTTTTTGCTAGGCATAAAGCAAAAGAAATAAAGACCATATTTCTGGCCCCGCTTGCCATTAAATGCAGTGGTACGATTATCTTGCATCCAGTGAGAGAAGCTCATCGGGCAGCTCCCAGAAACCTTCCCTCAAAAACAGCCAATGCATATCTTGTTTTTCTTTTTCTTTTTTTCTTTTTTTTTTTCTCCTTCTTGCCAGTTAAACCAGATCTGCTAAATGAGGCTAGACCAGCCACCCTGAGTGGATGAAGTGAAGTGACTGTGGGAACAGAGACCCACATGGGGCAAAGCAACAATAGGAGGGGAGCCTGGGTCTCCATATCCCACCCTGGTCTGCCTACTTCTGGGCTTTCCATGAGAAAGACACACAATTCTCCCTGCTTTAGGCTGTTATTTCCTTGGGTCTCTCTTAACTGTTGCCAGACTTAGTCGAAAGAGGTTTATACCACATCCTATTGCATCTTCAGTACCTGGTGCTGTGCCAAACACATAGTAGTTACTTAATTAATGTTTGCTAATTTACTGCAAAAGGATAGCAAAAGTTAAAAAAAAAAAGGAAAAAAAGCTTTATGGAATATTACCTTCAAATCCATCCTGCTCCACATGGTTACCAAATCTCTTTCCAGGATAATAAAATCTTAACATTTTAGGCATACAATTTGGCCTTCAAAGGCCTCTCAGCTTTTTAAATCTAATTTCTATTCTAATTTATTCATCATGATGTTAATAAGATGTTTGGTTTTTCATGTAGAAGGAAAAGCAAATTTATACAATGATTCCATGGATAGTCAAGAGACAGAAGGCCTGTAATTGACTATAATAATAGATCTCACAAAATCATAAAACTGATAGTAACAATGGGGTTCAAGCAATTAAACAATTTTGATTCCACAGATGAAAAAGCTGATGTTCAGAGAGGTGACACAACTAATTCCAGGCCACACAAACATTGAATGGCAGATCTGATGTCAGAACCCAGATAATCTAACTTCCAACTTGGTACTCTCAGAATCAGTTAGAGTGCCTTTGGTTGTCAAGAGCAGACTAACTAACATAAGCAAAAATCCTTTTAAAATCTTAGAATTTACAGGATCCAAAGCCTGGAACAGGCAGGAACCAGGCAGCTCTGTTCCTGCCTGGTTTCCATGGCAACATCAGCTACAGAGCTCATACTGATTTAGCTGACGGAATGAATGAATAAACTCCAACAACGGTTATTGTTCTGTTTTTCATTCTGATTGTAGAATGCTTCTTTTTCTTTTCTTTTCTTTCTCTTTCTTTCTTCCTTTATTTTTCTTTCTTCCTTTCCCTTTTCTCTCTTTTTTCTTTTTTCTCATTCTCTCTTTCTTTCTCTTTCTCTCTCTCTTTCTTTCTCTCTCTCTTTCTCTCTTTCCTTCTCTCTCTCCCTTCCTTTCCTTTCCTTCTCTTTCTCTCTCTCTCTCTCTCTTCACTCCTTTCCACCATTATTTTTGCTTACTGAATCTGCTTCCCAGAACAGTGGCTGATGAGAAGCCTAGGCACCAATTTTCTCATTCCCATTTCCCTCAACCTAATATAGGGAGTGAGATACAAGGGTGAACCCCTAGGAGATGCACTTTGAGAGAGAGAGAGAGAGAGAGAGAAAGACAGACAGAGACAGAGGAGAGGAGAGAGTAAGAGTTAGCTCTCTGGCTTTCCTGGCTTCCTCTCATTTTCTGTTTTTATATGCATTTTATTTGTTCACATGTTTTTAAAGTCTGCAGTTTGAGACCATGAGATGACAAGGAGAGAACTGAAAGCCAAACTTTTGAGAATACTTAAGAGAAAGTTACCAAGTGCCTGAGTCTTCTATGATATCACTGAGCAAATGACGACCTCCGCCCCCCATATTTTAGAAACAAATAACTGAATGCATGAATACCGTAAAGGAAGATGAGTACATACATGTAAGCACTTAGAGAAATGAGAAACCACCTTGTATTTTTATCTGGAAACTAATAAAAAGCAAAATGCATCCAGGAATATTATACGACATGCAATTTCGCAATTCAAGGTTTTTCTCTTTCAGTGTGTAGAGTTAGCCATAAAGCAAATTGACAGATACTGAATGACCTAGTTAAATCTTCCACGGATGCTAATATCTCCTGTTAACACCCTGCAGCTTGACCCTAAGGACTTCCGCGCACCCATCACATGTATAGTATGGTGTTTATTTCTTGATTTTATATTTTTAATATATAAACACATTGGTTATGGACAGGAAAGACCTTCTGTCTTATTAAATGACTCACATGATTTGCCTCGAAACCACAAGCTAAGTCAAACTTGTGCTAAGCATGGTTTAATCTGACAGAATATAAAGATTCTAGGACAAATCAAACCCAAGTGAAAGTTTCCAGTTTTATTGCCACACCCAAGTTCGATAAAGAAGCAATATGAGCTTGAATTAAACTTGCAGCCGAGAAAGGTTACAACTTGAATATAGTATTGAGCAGAAAGAAAACTTTCCATGGATCAAGGACTCAACATAATTCTAGGATCTATAAAAAAAATATCCATCTGATCTTCAATGTGTGTACATTCTAGGAGTAAAACCTATGCTTTGTTAATATTACAAAGTAAAGCAATCTTCTTTCTTCCCAACAGCATTGCTTTGCCCATTTTAGTCTGTTATGTAGCATTATCCATGAAGAGCACGACAAGGGAAATGTACAGCGAGCCCTTGTTAATGGTCTTCGGAGAAAATGGTTTAATTGCACAGACAAATGCTGAGTCAAAGGTGATTGTGCAAGCCAGAGAAGGAAGAAAAGAAAATATTTTTTAAAATTAGCCAATAATCCATTTATAAGGACAACAAACAATAGAAGCTTAATGACTTTTTGCCATATTACTAAAACATGTAAGAATTACACGTGACTTCTGGAACACAAAATTCTTAATCCCAGGTCAGAATAGTTAATTCAAAACTAATTTGTTTTCAGGGAACATATCTGAGAAATAATAAAATGTAGGGTCTCAGCTCACATCCACCCTTGCTCAGATGAATGATCATAAAAATGGTCCTAGGCAAGGCCACAGGGTCTGGCTGGCTGAGGACTTTGTGCACTGGACCATATACCATGAGCAGTGAGTTATTTCAAACTCCAGCTATGGGGCCAGAAACTCCTTAGGAGTCCGCACCAGAATGTCTAGAGGAGCACGTATATTAACAAGCATATTTTACACTTAAAAAAAAAATTAACCACAGAAACTGAGATTCCACCAGACTTCCTTGATAGGAAGATAAATTGTAAAAGTTTTACTGAAGGACTTAATTTTTAAAATTAAGCCATTTAATTTAAAAAAATAAGACTTTTAAAACAATGTTGAGAAACACACCCTTCACCAGAAGAAGAAAGGGGCGTGGCCAGGGAAGCAGAGCAGTTCCGCCTGTACCTGGTTTATGCAGTGCACTTCTGAATATTGCCTTCGAGGAAAGGTTAGGACAGGATAAAGCCTCCAGACACCACCGTTCGAGTATAATTTGAGCCAGGAAAGCTGTCAGTGCAGCTTTTTACTGTGTTGTAGAATCCTTTGGGAAAGAAATCTTTTCTTGGGTTCCTCTGAGAATTCCGACTGAGGCAAAACCAGATTTATCAGGGATTTTGCAGATATCCTGAAACAAACCGTCTCTCAGCGTGAGTCTAAAACTCCATCCGCCAAGACCGTCGCTGGGACTAAGCCCTGAAGCTGAGTGATCACTTGCTTCCTCTGCTCCTCTCTCGTAAGAATTCCTTCCCTCAAAGGCCTCACAGGCTAGATAGGGAGGCAGACACACCAGAGAAACAACAGTGAAGCATGCAAAGTGCTGTGAGGAAGTGTTGTGCAGGTATTGTAGAAGCTCAGATTGGGAGTGCCTAGGGCTGACCGACCCAGACAGTCTTTTATACTGGGCATGTGTGTGTGTACATGCATATAGAAATTTGGGGAGGAGAAGAAAAAGAAATAAAAGGAAGTAATAGTGGCTGCAACTTCTGCCTACAGATACTATGACCTTGTATAGATAATGCTTTTGTGACTATGACTTGGCCTTGCTTGCAACCCACCATCTGAGTCCTGCTAACCGAGGACCAACTATTTAGGAACAAGCTACACTGTGCCACCAAAACAGACATCAACAACACCTTTATTACATACACAATTGCCCCAAGAATTTTTATATATACTATTTTCCTTTGCAGCAACTTTACTCACCCTCTCTCTCTTTTTTCTTTTAAAATTTTTAGAGGAGTTTCACTCTGTCACCCAGGGCTGGAGTGCAGTGGTACAATTATAGCTCACCGTAGCCTCGAACTCCTGGGGTCAAGTGATCCTCCTGCCTCGGCCTCCTGAGTGGCTAGGATTACACATGTGTGTCACCAGGCCCGGCTACTAAGCTACTAACCCTCTCTTAAATACAAGCTACTAAATCTATTGAATGATCCGGGAAGAAACAATATGAAAAATAAAAAGATAATTAAGAATTTCACAAAGCAAATATATGTATAATGTCTAGAAGAATCAAAGATGGAAAGATAATATGGTAATATGACACTAAAGAGCCTGATGAACTTTTTGATTTGTTATAAAACATTTAAAAATTTTCCTTCAATATTTAATTGGCCAATGAGTCTCCAAATAGCTATTGCCTCTCTCTCTTTTTTTTTTTTTTTTTTTTGAGATACAGTCTCGCTCTGTTGCCCAGGCTGGAGTGCCCTGGTGCGATCTCGGCTCACTGCAACCTCCGCCTCCCGGGTTCAAGCTATTCTCCTGCCTCAGCCTTCTGAGCAGCTGGGACTACAGGTGTGTGCCACCACGCCCGGCTAATTTTGTGTATTTTTAGTAGAGACGGGTTTCATCATGTTAGCCAGGATGTTCTCGATCTCCGGACCTCGTGACCTGCCTCCCACGGCCTCACAAAGTGCTGGGATTACAGGTGTGAGCCACCGCGCCCGGCCATCCCTCTCTCTAACTCTTAATCCACATTGCCATGCATTGGTTCCCTGCTATTAACCTCTTTGGTTCTAATCTAGATGATGGCATCTGCTGGTCAGTGTCCTGGTCCAATGTGGATCCCATCCAGCATGCTCTCCACCTTACATGCAGAGCAGTCTTTGTAAATCACAAATCTCATCATGTCCCCCCTTCACTCAAATGCTTAGATACAGCCTTTCAGGATAAAGTCCAAACTTTTTAGCCGTCTATAATCTGACTCTTTTCTTGTTACTTGCTCAATTTGGGACATGTACTCTGGACAAATGAACTGTGTCATACCCCAAGCACGCCATGGTCTTGTGTGCCTTCATCTTTTTTACTCTCCACTCCTTACCAGGGATGAACTGCCTCCCATTCTCAGTCTAGATCCGTGGTTCTCAAGGTTCTCAAGGGAACAGTGGCGACAGCAGCAAACGGGACATGTCAGAAATGCAAATGATCAGGCTTCATCTCAGATCTCCTGAGTCAGAAATTCTGGAGAATGGACCAGCAATCTGCAAATAAGGACTATAGAAGATCTTATACCACAGAAAAGCTAGGCAGCGTGCAGAGAACTAGAGGGCCATCGATGACTTCTTTGCCTGCAGTTCAGCAAATACACAGCAGAAGTGAAGACCACTAGGTCACTTGGTCAAGCTATTCATAAAACAGAAGTGGCTCAAGGAGAATAAATGGATTATACGCAGGGACCCCTGTAGCTTGAGGAGTCAGATAGACATTATAGAAACAGAGACTGTCAGTGTCCCAGGGGTCCAGGAGGTCAAATAGTCCAGTCTCATCATGTCACAGAGGATAAACAGGAGTCCTGGAAAGGTGAAATGACTTACTCAGTGTGAGACAGATGGCCAAGAGAACACTGAAACCAAAGTGTTTTAGAAGGAAAAAGCTGCATGGTAAAAACAGCTGAGTCATCTGATGGACACTGACACAGGCAAGTCCCTCGGTGGGCACCCAGGCAGAATGAGAAGCATGACATGTTTGTTCTTAATAACTCAGTGGGCTGATCCTGCAGTCTAGGCACCCTGCTGACGGGAAGAAGCAACGACTCAGTTAGACTCACGTGGATCTGTCCAGCACTGGACGTCAGCAGTAGATAGGTTTGATGGAGCTGGAAAGTTTATCCTTTAAAAATGGCCACAAATATTACACTTATAAATATGTATGTGTGTGGGTGTAGAAACATTACTTGTAAAAAATGAAACCTGTTAGATTAGATCAAACTAGGTTGCCGCTTCTAAGGTAGTGAACGTGTAAAAGAGTAAACCTCATAGAAACATGAGGCTGCCCAATGCATGTGTACATGTTGGTGTTGTGTGCATATACTTCATCATATACATATAGTTAGAAATTGTATGTATAATTAAAAATATAATCATTCAATCATAACATTAAACAGTGAAATTATTACATCATAATGTTAATCATAACATGGAGCAATTAAACTACAGTGTTTTATGACATATAGTTTTAAATTATAACATTAAAAATATAGGTAAACGGCTAGGATCGGGGAGCAAATATTAAAGTAAATAAATCCCTGCCCTACTCCCTGAGCCCTTTCTGCTCATATTTTGCACTCTTCTGAGGACTGATGTTGGCCTCCCAGGCTTCAGGACAACCTGACATCAAGATGCCTTTAGGTTCTTTCTGACAGCTGCTGCTGCTTCTTCATCACAGAGAGTTCATTTGCTCTCCTCGGCAGGCCAGAGCTAATTAAGAAGAGAACAGCCCAGGTTCACCCTCCCAACCCTCCTCATCGGCTAGAACTGCCTGTTTGCTGCCCTCCAGGTCTTCTGCAGTGAGACCCCCTGCTTTTCTCCAGAGAGTGAGGAAACCACCACTAGAGGGGTGGGGTCTCAACACAGACATATTTACCCAACAGGAGCAGAATGTTTCCATTTGACAATTCCACTACAAGAAGCAGGCCTTCTTGGACCTCTTGCCCAACTTCTGGCCTTCTGATTCTAAGTAGAAGTTGTCATTTTTCTATGACTACTATTAGGTTGGTGCAAATGTAATTGTGGTTTTTGCAATGAAAAGTAATGACAAAAACCACAATTACTTTTGCACCAACTAGTGCTAGCAATGCCTTAAAAAATAAATTGGGCTCAAGATTTCTTGGGGCATAAATTGTTTTGTGCTGTTTTCCGTTTCATCTCCATGTTCCACGGGCTTAAACACCACAGAGCAAAGGCAGCACGTGTCTGTGGAGCTGCCCCCTTTCCAAGGAAGCTGCTTTGACCTTCACCTTCTGCCTCCTGGTAGTGTGTGATGATCACATGGAATAGTAACCAGAGCTGTGTCACACTTCACAAAACACCTTGGGGATTTTGTGACCTCAAAGTATTCTCTTCACCTGGCAGGTGGCATGAGCCATGGGAGATCCCGACACTCCCAACTTTGCTACCAATGACTCAGATAGAGGGACACATGTATACATGTGTCTGTGCACATTAATGGACCAGCACTGGCCATGTTTCTATGAGGCCTTTTCTTTTACATGATTACCATTTAAGAAGCAGCAGGTGAATCTAACCTATTTTGTTTTCTTACAAGTAATACTGTGTTCGCTTTTTGAAATTTCTTTTCTGAACTTTAGTAAAACCATTTGCTACTCTTTCACTCTCTTTTTGTGTTTTTTTTTTTAATTTTTAATTTTGATTTTCATAGGTTTTGGGAAACAGGTGGTATTTGGTTACATGAGTAAGTTCTTTAGTGGTGATTCATGACATTTTGGTGCACCCATCACCCAAGCAGTATACACTGAACCCAATTTGTAGTCTTTTATCCCCTACTGCCCCCCACCCTTTCCCCTGAGTCCCCAAAGTCCACTGTATCATTCTTAGGCCTTTGCGTCCTTATAGCTTAGCTCCCACTTATAAGTAAGAACACACAATGTTCGGCTTTCCATCCCTCAGTTACTTTATTTAGAATATGGTCTCCAATACCATCCAGGTTGCTGCTGCTGCAAATGCCATTATTCCGTTCCTTTCTATGGATGAGTAGATAGATAGATAGATAGATAGATAGATAGATAGATAGATAGATACAATTTCTTTATCCACTTGTTGATTGATAGGCATTTGGGTTGGTTCCACATTTTTTGCAGTTGTGAACTGTGCTGCTATAAACATGTGTGTACAAGTATCTTTCTCGTATAATGACTTCTTTTCCTCTGGGTAGATAAGCAGTAGTAGGATTGCTGGATTCAATGGTAGTTCTACTTTTAGTTCTTTAAGGAATCTCCACACTGTTTTCCATAGTGGTTGTACTGGTTTACATTCCCACCAGTAGTGTAGAAGGTTTCCCTTTTTACCACATCCCTGCCAACATCTATTATTTTTTGATTTTCTGATTATGGCCATTCTTGCAGAAGGAGTAAGGTGGTATCACACGGTGGCTCTGATTTGTATTTCCCTGATCATTAGTGATGTTGAGGATTTTTTTCATATGTTTCTTGGCCATTTTCACATCTTCTTTTGAGAATTGTCTATTCATGTCCTTAGTTCACTTTTTGATGAGATTGTTTGTTTTTTCTTCCTGATTTTTGGAGTTCCTTGTACATTCTGGATATTAGTCCTTTGTCAGATGTATAGATTATGAAGATTTTCTCCCACTCTGTGGGTTGTCTGTTTATACTGCTGATTATTTCTTCTGCTGGGCAGATTTTTTTAGTTTAATTAAGTCCCATCTATTTATCTCTGTTTTTATTGCATTTGCTTTTGTTTTTGTGTGTGTCTTTTGTTTTTCTCCTCTCCCACTCTTATCCCCAACCCAACTTTGATTTCTCTCTTTATTCTCTAGAACGTGAATTAACCAGCAGCCTGCATTTCACATTTAACTGAAGAAGCAGAATTGATGAGTGTCACCTGAACTATCTTGAACATTTCATGTCACATTGCATGTCAGATATTTAATCTTGACACCTCCTCTCCGTCCAGAGCCAAAAAGTCACCAGGAATGAAGAATTCTTTCTTCATCATATAGAATTTTGTAGGCCATGGAAAGCAATCTAGACATTATTCTAAGTGCTATAGAAAACTGTGTTTGAGTTTTGAGCAGGAAAGTGATATGATTTGAATTCTACTTAAAAACTCAGGCTGGGAAATAGAAGAATGAAAGCAAAGAGACCAGTAAGAGGATTTATTGCAAGAATGAAAGGATCACATGACTATGGGGGAGAGAAATGGATGAATTTGGGATATATTTTGTGTGCAGCCAACAAGACAAAAATTAATGCTTGCAAGGAGGGGAAAAGAGGCATGAAGGGAAAGAGATGGATCAAAGAAGATTCATAGGCTTTTACTTGAGCAACTAAATCCTTGCAGCTGCCCTTTAACAAAATAGGGTACAGAGGGATAAAGGAAATTTGGAGAGAGAAGGAATAAAAAGTTCTATTTTGGCCACATTATGTTTCAGATACCTACTAAACACACAAATAGAAACGAAGGAAAGTGGTCACCTTATTTTAATGGGAAGGCAGCAACCTGAAAACCTAGTCATCCTGGAGCATCCAGCAGAGAAAATTTCTATTGCAAGAAGTAAACACTTGATTTTGCCTTCCAGACAGATCATTTCATTATTCAAAGAACATTTTTTTTCAGAAGGACCATGAGATATGCAAATATATAGCAGAGATTTTTCAGGGTACACAGGTGTTAGAAGCTAAAAGTAGTGGAGCAAGGTGACAAAAAAGAGATCCTTTCTAGCGGGCAGTGAAATGCCTATATATTATTTTCTTTAGAGCAAGATTCCCTTTCCAAGTATGAACTTAAACTGACCTATCCAGGTACATATTATTATTTTCTTAGAAAATGTGTGTGTGTGTGTACACAGCAAAAGAAACTACCATCAGAGTGAACAGGCAACCTACAGAATGGGAGAAAATTTTTGCAATCTACTCATCTGACAAAGGGCTAATATCCAGAATCTACAATGAACTCAAACAAATTTACAAGAAAAAAACAAACAACCCCACCAAAAAGTGGGCAAAGGATATGAACAGGCACTTCTCAAAAGAAGACATTTATGCAGCCAAAAGACACATGAAAAAATGCTCATCACCACTGGCCATCAGAGAAATGCAAATCAAAACCACAGTGAGATATCATCTCACCAGTTAGAATGGCGATCATTAAAAAGTCAGGAAACAACAGGTGCTGGAGAGGATGTGGAGAAATAGGAACACTTTTACACTATTGGTGGGACTGTAAACTAGTTCAACCATTGTGGAAGTCAGTGTGGCGATTCCTCAAGGATCTAGAACTAGAAATACCATTTGACCCAGAAATCCCATTACTGGGTATATACGCAAAGGATTATAAATCATGCTGCTCTAAAGACACACGCACACATATGTTTATTGTGGCACTATTCACAATAGCAAAGACTTGGAACCAAGCCAAATGTCCAACAATGATAGACTGGATTAAGAAAATGTGGCACATATACACCATGGAATACTATGCAGCCATAAAAAATGATGAGTTCATGTCCTTTGTAGGGACATGGATGAAGCTGGAAACCATTATTCTCAGCAAACTATCGCAAGGACAAAAAAACCAAGCACCGCATGTTCTCACTCATAGGTGGGAATTGAACAATGAGAACATATGGACACAGGAAGGGGAACATCACACACCAGGGCCTGTTGTAGGTTGGGGGGAGGGGGGAGGGATAGCATTAGGAGATATACCTAATGTTAAATGACGAGTTAATGGGTGCAGCACACCAGCATGGCACATGTATACATATGTAACTAACCTGCACGTTGTGCACATGTACCCTAAAACTTAAATAATAATAAAAAAGAAAGAAAGTTGGACTTAAGAACTGTAAAAATGCAAGGTGATATAATTTGGATTTGTGTCCCCACCCAAATCTCACATCAAATTATAATCCCCAGTATTGGAGGAGGGGCCTGGTGGGAGGTGATTGGATCATGAGGATGCTTTCTTATGGTTTCGCACTATCCCCCTAGTGCTGTCTTATGACAGAGTTCTCAAGAGATCTGCTTGTTTAAAAGTGTATAGCACCTCCCCACACCCCCCTCCTCTTGCTCCTGCCGTGTAAGTGTGCTCACTTCCCCTTCGCCTTCCACCATGATTGTAAGTTTTGGTGATGCCTCCCCAGAAGCAGAAGCTTGCACAGCCTGCAGAACCATATGCCAATTAAACCTCTTTTCCTTATAAAAAAAAAAAAAAAGAAAACGTGTGTGTGTTCAGGCCTGGCACAGTGGCTCACGCCTATAATCCCAGCACTTTGGGAGGTCGAGGTGGGCAGATCATGAGGTCAGGAGTTCAAGACCAGCCTGACCAACATGGTGAAACCCCATCTCGACTAAAAATACAAAAATTAGCCAGGCGTAGTGGCAAGTGCCTGTAATCCTAGCTACTCGGGAGGCTGAGGCAGGAGAATTACTTGAATCTGGGAGGCAGAGGTTGCGGTAAGCTGAGATGGTGCCACTGCACTCCAGCCTGGGCAACACAGCGAGACTCCACCTCAAAAAACAAACAAACAGGCAGGACGCGGTGGCTCATGCCTGTAATCCCAGCACTTTGGGAGGCCGAGGTGGGTGGATCATGAGGTCAGGAGATCAAGACCATCCTGGCTAACATGGTGAAACCCCGTCTCTACTAAAAACACAAAAAATTAGCCAGGCGTGGTGGCGGGCGCCTGTAGTCCCAGCTACTCGGAAGGCTGAGGCAGGAGAATGGCGTGAACCTGGGAGGTGGAGCTTGCAATGAGCTGAGACCACGCCACTGCCCTCCAGCCTGGGGGACAGAGCGAGACTCTGTCTCAAAAATAAATAAATAAAAAACCGAAACGTGTGTGTGTCTGTGATGATGGGGTGTGGATGAAGACTGGGCAAGCTATCTCAAAGGCAATCAGAAATTGACATTCCCCCCAAAATCCAAAAATAGCAGGAAAGGTATGTAGGCCACAGAGTCTGCTTGAGGGTGAGATATAATTATAGAAGGGAAGGAAACCTGGACTGATAAATCTATCTGTCTTTTTCCACTTGTCATATATATACCAATGCTTCACTACTAAGGTAGTGAACCGTGATAGAGCATGGTTGTGAAATTGAAATCCTGGGACCAGACCATGTCCCTGCGGGTAGAAGGTAAAATTCCTTCCAAAGGAAGTAGATATTTTTACTGTCTGTGTTCCAATGGAGAGATCCATTCCAGTACTAATACGAAGTTTAAGAAGGCATGTGTTAAACTAGAAAAAACTGAAGATGAAAAGAACACAGCTTCCTCCTAAGAGACTTAGAGGAAGCATGGCTCTGGATTTCGATTGAGTACTATCTACCTGTGAGTAGTCCTTCGGGGGTAGGCAAAGTGGATTCTGCAATAAGGCATTAGGCCAGAAGCTAAGGGTCTGGGTATGTTGGCTTTAATAGTTACCATATCTAGTTGCTATTATAAATTGTCCTCTTTGTTGTTTTTTTTTCTATTATTGAACACACTGTAAATCTTGTAGAATTAGAGGCCCATGCTTGGATGAAACATCATGGGGGAGAGCAGTAGCAGTCCAAAGGGAGCCATTTCAGGAAGTAGGGGATACATGAACGTCAGCTGTGGCCCTTGCGCAGAACTGAGAGTGCTGGCTAGCTGAGGAACACAGCAGCAAGGGAAGGAATTAGTTTAACAGTTACCATCTCCTAGAAACTCCCAGAAATACACAGAAAGAAAATTTTGCAAAAGACTAAAATTACTGCATTCAAGCAGGAGGGAGGCTGGGACCATTGTACATATGTTCTTTAAAAGGGAATATGTTCTCATTTTATCTAAAAATGAGACACACCTGGCACATTTGTCTGTCTCCTTCTGTAGGCTATAAGCTCTTTCAAAACAAGGACCTATCATGTCAGAAAGACTTAATAATTATTTACAAACGAAAGAATAAGGGTATCCTTGAATCAAGCCTTTAATTTGAATAACTCGATTGGTTTTACAGTAGCACCAAGTTCTACTTCCTCATTTACACATTGTGAATTACAATGCTATTATTATTTGGAAGTAATGGCTTTTAAATGAGCCTGGAGTTGAAATCGTAGGAAGAAAGTAGTTCTGTGTATGTAAATTATTTGGTTGATGAAGGGGGCCTGCCGCTCCACACCTGTGGGTATTTCTTGCAAGGTGGAGACGAGAGACTGAGGGGAGTCTGATCTCTCTTTCCCCCACAGGTTGAAAGAGATGGTTGCATGCTGTTGTTCTTTACCAATAATGCCAGGGATAACTAGCCACGGAGGGTCAAAGGGTAGTAAGGCTTTGTAACAACTTTCTTAATGCAATGCAATCATACAGGTGGTATGCATGGCCACCAAGGAGATGCAGATTGGATTTAACTAGAATAACCTGGGGACTAACCAAGGTTCCTTTTCTCAACTAAAAAAAAAAATAGGTATAGTGATGCTAAATCTCTAAATACTCTTAGAAAGATTAAGAAAATAATTATAAGATATATGTCCTCATGATGGAATTAAAAATGAATGTATTAATGTCTTGTATTGGTAGATTTGTTTTATGACCCAGCATGTAGGCTTTCCTGATAAATGCTTCACGTACACATAAAATGAGTATGTAATCTGCAGTAATTGGATGATGTAAATAACTCTCTATATGGTCAAGCTGATGGATAGTGTTTCTTGAGTTTTCTGTATCTTCACTAATGGTCCATCACTTGTTCTGTAAATTACTGAGAGAAGAATGTTAAAATGTCCAAATATCTTTGTGAAGGTATATCTTTCTCCCTTTCTGTCACTTTTTGCTTCATGGATACTGAAGGTATGTTATTAGGTGCATAAACATTTAGGATTGCGAATCATTATGATTTTACCCTTTTTATGTCTAATAAGACTTCTTGTCTTGAAGCCTATTTTGATATTTATACAACCATGTGCACCTTCTTGTGGTTAGTGTTTGCAATGATGTGTATTTTTCCATGAATTTACTTTCAATTTTTTAATTGCTGTGCATCTTTATATTTAAATTATATATGTGCAGAATCCTATGGCTGGGTCCTGTTGTAGATATATATACATATATATATATACGTATATATATGTATATATACATACATACATATGTATATATATATACATATATATATAATCAAATAATCTCTGCCTTTTGGAAAAATATATTTTGGTCGTTTACATTTAATGTAAGTATTGATATGACTGTGGTTCAGTCTCCCATCTTGCTGGCTTTTTTAATATTTGGCATCTCTGATCTTCGTTACTTTGTCCCTTATCTCTTCCTCATTTCCTGTGTTCTTTTGTGTGAAGCAGTATTTTTTTTAAAATTTCTTCTATCTCCTCCACTGCATTTTAAGCTACATCTCTTTGTATTTTTAAATTCATTCCTAGAGTGAACATATGCATCCTTAAAGTGTCACAATCTACTTTGAGCACCAATACTAAATGTTAGGGATTCAAACACGAGCAAGGCATATCCCTCCTTTTCGGATGAGTGGAGAAGGCAGACATGTAAGTAATAAATACAGCAAAACCTCTCACTATTCAGAGGACCTTTAACATGGCCACAAGGCTCAAGCTTATCATTCGACGAACTTGCTACCAGTATTTCTTGGTTGTACAGATTATTTTTTCCTCTTCGCTCACTGGATTTCATATTTGTCTGAAAACATTTCGCCCTGTTTTTAACTAAATTGTGTTGTCATTTGTATAGTCTATATACAAGTGCTTTGTTGGATATGTATTTTGAAAAGATTTTCTCCCAATCTATATCTTGTCTTTTCATCCTCTTCACAGGGTCTTCCACAGAGCAAAAGTTTCTAATTTTCGTGAGGTATAACTTATTGATTTTTTTTGGTTTATAGATTGTGCTTTTCATGTTGCATGCAGGAAAACTTTGTGAAACCTAAGGACTCTAAGATTTTCTTCTATAGTTTTATAGTTTCAGGTTTCGATTTTCACTATATGATTCACTTTGAGTCAATTTTTGTATGTGGTTTATGGTAAAGGTCAAGATTTTTTTTTTTTTGGCATTTGACTATACCTAATTTATCCTTTCCCCATTGAATTGTCCTAGCATTTTGTCAAAAGTCATTGCTCATATATGTCATCTATTTCTAGACTACTGTTCCCTTGAAATATTGGTCTATTTTTATGCCAATACTACACTGTTTTGCTTACTTTACAATAAGTCCTGAAATCAGTAGTATAAATTCCTTAACTTTGACGTCTGTTTTCAAAATTATTTTGGCAATTCCAGACCTTTTTCATTTCCATATAAATTTTATAATCAATTTGTCAGGTTCTACGAAAAAGCCTGCTGAGATTTCAATTGAGATTGCAATGAATCTATAGATCTTTTGGGGGAGCACTGACATACTAATCATATCACCTCTTCTGAACATATGCATTCATTATGATCTAGCAATCTCTTTCTAAGTATGTCTTAGAAACTCTTGGACAAGTGAACAAGGAAATATACACAAGGATGCTTCTAGTACTGCTGCTTGTAACAGAAAGACACCAGAACATTTTCCTTATCACTTGAGAAGATAGAAAAATGGTGGCATATTTATACAGAAAAAAATTTTGGAATTTCATGTGGCAGTTAACAATGAATTGACTCATAAACATAACAGTTACATTTTAAAAAAGGAATATATATAGTATTATCCTATCAATATTACATTAAGAAATATGTAAAACCAATCACATGTTGTTTGAGAAAGCAAATATATGTGTTAAGACTATACAGAAGAATTAGGAAATTATAAATACAAAGTTCATAATAAAATTCATAATGAGCTTTTTACAGGATGGGGAAAGCAATAACCTTGGGAGGGCCACAAAGTTGTATTTCTTAATCTTGATGGTGAGTACACAGAATGTTATCAAAGTGTTATTCTATACAGCATATATGTATTTTAGTATATCCTTTTCTATTTAATATTTAATATCTAAATCATTTTTAAAAGGAAAGACAGAGAATTTTATCGAGGGGGAGGAATCAGAGTAAACTTAAATCTTACACTAGTGAAACAGGGCACAAGCATTTATGGTTCAATTGTGTAATCGATTCTTCATTTATACTATTCCATTTGCAGCTTATGAACTGCAAAACAGCATCCTGAATAAATACTAGGAGTCGCCAATGTAAACCTGTTAATATTGTGGGATTTTTTTTTTTTTGGACACTCACCTTCTGCAAAGTAACAAAAGCACTTTAAAATGTGAGAATAAATGTTGTTGATTGCAGAAGAATACCAGGGAAAATAGCACAGGCCATGCCTTTCTCTCTTACTCCTCCTATTGGGTCTGCAGGCCTTTCGCTTGCATGAGTCATCCATACTCAGGTAAGCACTGTGCCTTTATTCTTTATTGCACTAGGCCTCTTGACAAATGACTGTTTAAGGAGTGTTTGCACACCTGTCAATGGTTCCTGTCATTTGTCAAGTAACAAATATAAAATCTGATAACTAAACAGGAGAAAACCTGTATAAACCAAGAAATATTGGTACCATAAGAAGTTCAACAGATGATAAGGCTAAGCCCTGTGGCTCTCTGGAAGCCCCTCCGAATAGTGAGTGGTTCTGCTGTATTTGTTATTTATGTGTTTGTCTCCTCTGCTCATTTAAAAAGTAGGGACTATGCCTTGCTCATCTTTAAATCCCTAACACTTAGCATTGGTGCTCAGTAAGTGTCCTTAATTGATGGAAACTGATATCTGTTGATCCCAAATAAAAACAGGTCAAAGCCATCTTTCACGGCATATTTTCAAACCTTCTGTTTTCGCATTAAATCGTGAACCTTTTGAAAGTATCTACACACTTTTAAAATATTTTGGAGGCATTATTCAAATAACTATTTTGATACTGAGAAAATACTACCAGTGGCATAGATACAAATTAACTCCTGGATGCTTTTAACTAATTTTTGTGTTTGGTGCTAATGAAAAAGTACCTGAAGCCTTTAACTTTGAAGCCCGGGCTTCAAAGACATGATTGCTCAGATGTCTTGCTTTATTGTTGCAGTTTAGCAAGACAAGAAACTCTCCCAAAATGTCTTACTATTATGTACTCACTGTAGAGAAAATATGATTGTGAGGAAGAAAAGTAAAGAAGGAAAGCAGTGTGAGAGTTAAGCACTTGAAGTTTGCCTGGAGTGAAGAAGGTCCTACCAGTTAAGTGCTTTGGATTTTTTCTTTTTTCTTTTCTTTCTTTCTTTTCTTTTTTTTTTCCAGATGGAGTCCTGCTCGATTGCCCAGGCTGGAGTGCAATGGCGCGAGCTTGGCTCACTGCAACCTCCTTCTCCCAGGTTCAAGCAATTCTCCTGCCTCAACCTCCCGAGCAGCTGGGATTACAAGCGCTTGCCACCACGCCCAGCTAATTTTTGTACTTTTAGTAGAGACGGGGTTTCATCACCTTCACCAGGCTGGTCTTGAACTCCTGACCTCAGGTGATCTGCCCACCTCAGCCTCCCAAATTGCTGAGATTACAGGTGTGAGCCACCACGCCTGGCTGGGATTTTTTCAAGAATGTGTACTCAAGGTCCAAACTTTTAGATCATTTGAAGGAAATCCTTTTGCCACTCTCAGGTAAATCACTTTGGAGCTCTGTAAAGAGTAAAACAGCCCTCCGCAGCCACACACAGATTTGCATGGTGGGGCTGCGGAGCCTCGGAGTCCAAGCGTGACTTATAGTCCCTCATAAGCAGAGGCCAAGAAGAGGCCAGCTTTTGGCTTTTTCTTTCTTTCTTTTTCTTTTTTTTTTTTGAGACAGAGTCTCACTCTGTCACCCAGGCTGGAGTGCAATGGTGTGACCTCGGCTCACTGCAACCTCCACCTCCCAGGTTCAAGCAATTCTCCTGCCTCAGCCTCCCAAGTAGCTGGGATTACAGGCGCCCACCACCACTCCTGGCTAATGTTTGTATTTTTAGTAGAGATGGGGTTTCGCCATGTTGACCAGGCTGGTCTTGAACTCTTGACCTCAGGTGATCTACCTGCCTTGGCCTCCCAAAGTGTTGGGATTACAGGCGTGAGCCACAGCGCCGGACCTTGACTTTCTTTCTTGATAACTGTAAAAGCAACTGAAACAGATGATGAAAGAAGAACTCACTACCATGAGCCAGAGCCCATAGTTCTCAATAACTCACCTTGCCCCTGAGCTGACACCCTCCCACACCCTGCAACAAATACATGTGGTTTTCTTTCTTTGAGAAACATCACTATATTTGGGCAACATGTCACACACAGCCCAGTGTATTCTCGGTTTCCCAAGTAACCTGTAGAGAAATTCTATGATGTGATGCCCTTTTTCCTGGAGGACCATAGAATTCAGAGGGAGAGGAGGCCTTGAGACCATCCTCAGGTCTCCTGCCTGAATGTTGCTAAGCCTCAGGACTCCCTCCACCCACATGCAACCACACATAGCTTTTACAAATAAATTAAGAGTAAGTCTTTTGCGGGTAGGTATTATGGCATTTTCACCTCCTCTAGGCAGAAGTAGTGTGGTGCATTTTTAAGGAAGGGGAGGTTGCTTTGCACAGGCCTGGAGGCAGAAGATCTAGTCATCCATATCTCCCCAAAGCACACTGCCCCCCTTATCCTCGGACTTGCTTCTAAGATTTGCTGTCTTGCTGAGAAGTTAGCAGTACTCATCCTCTGAAGATGCTAGACTTTCCAGATATTTGGGGAAAGCCAATGTAATACATAGCACCCTAGGTCAGAAGTGTGCCTTGAGACAGAGTTCTACAGTGATTACATATTTTCTTCCTAGTCTGAGCAGCCACATATCAACTATCAAGAAGGTTTCTACCCTATTCTTGATGCTATGCCTATGCAGTTTAACTCCAGAATTTATGAAGACACATAATACTGTTGACAGATTGGATGAGAACCATTATCATTTCCCCAGATTATCGACATGTAGCATGCTATTAGTAGGAGACAAGCAGTAGATTATGATGTCAGTCTGTTTATGTGTCTTCTCACTAAGAGAGGTGAGAAATAAAAGCCAGTGGGGATAGAAGACTGGTTTTGGTCTGGCTTAAACCTCCATACTGTGGGGTTTTATTCTACGTAGTTTGCTGTAAACGTGTGCCCACTTCTTCCTTCTTGAGGGCTCCCAGGTGGCCATAGATCTCTGTGACATGAAGCTTCTTTGGAGTATTCTGATGATAAAAGGGAGAATTTCAATTCCATTTGACAGGAAGAGTCACTCCCTCCTTGAAGTGGAAATGAAAATGGATCCCTAACTGTGCAAGAGGCAACGATGAAATAGCTCTCCCTCTGACCCTCCATTAAATGACAGCAGGCAGTAGAATTATTATTTGGTACTTTATGCCCACCGTTGTGTCAGCTGTACACATGGGCCAACCACACATTTCTCTCCTTCCATAATTCTGACTCATGCTGCATGGGCTTGAGAACAATGTTGAAAAGTTCCCCCAGGGTTTCTGATTTACAGTCCCCTCCCTTTTCCCTGGTATTCAACTAATGATTTAGAAGCTGGAAGTAGAGGAGGCTCTTCTTATTTCTGTCAAAGAGACAGAAAAAGAGCAGTCAGAGACAGACTAAGAAATCATGATTCTAGGAATGGAATGTCCCATTCTAGAAGGACAGTGTTCAATGTGGTGAAGAAATTGAGGAGGAGAGCAGTAGGCAGAGGTTATTGGTTTTGATGGTGATAGATTCTGTTAAGAAATTAGTGGTAAAATCCTGGCTAACACGATGAAACACCATCTCCACTAAAAATACAAAAAATTAGTTGGATGTAGTGGTGGGCGCCTGTAGTCCCAGCTACTGGGAAGACTGAGGCAGGAGAATGGCACAAACCCGGGAGGTGGGGCTTGCAGTGAGCCAAGATGGCGCCACTGCACCCAGCCTGGGCAACAGAGCAAGACTCCATCTCAAAAAAAAAAAAAAAAAAGAAAGAAAGAAATTAGTGGTGAAGCCATGCTGTAAAGGGGTTAGAAGAATATGGGAGTAGTTTGAAGATGTGGCAAGGTCATGTTTGTGAACAATGGAATTCACAGAGAAGAAATTTTCTTGAGCTGTGATTTAGTCAGATTGGGATGCTAGAATACCACAGACTGGGTGGCTTAAACAACAAAATTTATTTTTCACGGTTCTGGAGGCTGGAAAGTCCAAGGTCAAGGTGCCATCATGGCTCTTCCTGGTTTGCAAATGGCGTCTTCTTGTGGTGCCCTCACATGCTGGACAGACAAAGAGCTCTGGTTCCTTCATCTTCTAAGGATACTAATCCCATGACCTCATCCAAACTCAATTACCTTCCAAAGGTCTTACCTCCAAATAACATCACCTCGGGGATAACGGTTTCAACATATAAATTTTGGAGGAGACACAAACATTCAGTCCATAGAAAGATTTTTTTTGAGGTTTCAATTGTATAATTCTTATGAATAAGTTACAAGATGTCAACTATTTATTCTCAGAATAATGTTTAACTGAGTAAATTGCAAATCTATAATGATATAGTAAAAACCACATTGTCTGGGATTTTACCACCTGGAAAGTGCTAGATATCAACACTTCTGACATTTCCCAAGAAATATTTAATTTATTCCTGAGGCTGATGCCAAAAGTCACCAACTCTATGCTGAAACACCCACTACATAGCATCACAGAATTTCAGAACTGGGCAAGTATCCCATCCAACCAACTATCCTTCTACAGATGGAGAAACATAGGCCTCATGGAGAATAGAAGATGACTGTTGAAGTCCTTTCTAACCCTGAAGATATATAATCTCAGAAACTAGCTTGCTAAAGTTCATACTATTCTTTTAAATAAGTGAACACCATTCTCTGATCCTGATTATGTCATTACTAGTGGGCAACTATTGTTTTTTAATTCATCTGAGTGATAAATGTGAAATAGTACAAGCAGACTATCGCCAGTTCTGAATCAGCTGAGTCCTAATTTATGAGGTATAAATAAATGTATTTTGAGCTTCTCCTGGGAATGAGAGCCTATCTATAATGTTTCAATCCTGAAACCAGGTTTTATAGAAGAGAGACTGGCATTAATCATCACCTAAAATCCTTCCAACTCATCATTGACAGGTGTAGTTAGTGATACCCATGGCTTTTACACAATGTTGTTTAACCAGGACCAAATAGAATTCTAGGAACTGATTGTCCATGACAGGAAATCCTACCTAAACAAAAGGCATTCTAAGCTCACACAGAAAAATGAGCAGGCCTGAACTTGAGGGAACACAAGAATGACAACAATTGCTACATTTAAACCAAGTGAGGGGGGTAAAGAGAAACTGCTGTCAGCATTTAGGGAGCCCACCATCCTGGTTGAAGCAGACAGGGCTTGATTCCTGAGAGATCTGCAATGTGCTTCCTTCTTTAGATAAATGTGGAGAGAATTCTGCATTCATATGCAACTGGAATTCTGAATTCTGCATTCGTATTCAACTGGAATTCAGAGAATTCTGAATTCATATTCGACTGGAAATATGGTGGTTCCTACCGCGATGTGCTTTTCTAAAACTCCCAAATGGGTGTTCACTAAGTAAACATGCATTTCAAAGAGAACTTAGGTAATTCCCTTAGCAAGAGAAACCAGAAATTCTGACTGGGGCTCCACAATATGTTTATGAAAATAATCTATGTTTCCGGAAATTTTGGGACACCAGCGGTAAAGAAAGAAATAAGACTGAGAAGTCCTTGAAAATGACAAACTAAAAAGAAGAGAGATCTGGAACAATAATAAAACTGCACATAGATGAGGGAAAGTTTCAAGATCTTTTAAGATACCAGTTAACTAATTGGGAATCCCTGTTCTGTAATTCTCTAGCCACACCTCCCCCAATAAAACAAATTCATTTCAGCAAGACTGAACCATCAATTTCTTATTTATGTAAGAGGATATAGAAAATTAGGGTGTCAATATTTTAAAATTTATGCATAATTTAAAATTATACATTTTTTAAAAGGCTCTGGGTGGTTGTAAAAATTTAAATTCCCTCTCAAAAGATCTTTTTGGAAATTATTAAAAAGACTATGCTCTGAAAAAAATGTTTGTCAACACCTGGCATGATTTCAAAGAGTGATCCTGCACAGAAAAGTACCAACCAGCTGATATCCACAGAAACACTTCACTGTCAATCATTGAGGATGAGGATCCACCATAACTGTGAGGTATTCCTGTTGGTCACTTATTTACAATTTCTTCAAGCAACTGTCATACTCAGGTCAGGTTGCCATAACAAGAATACCATAGACTGGGTGGCTGACACAACAGAAATTTATGTCTCACAGTTTTGAAGGCTGGAAATCCAAGATCAAGGTGTTGCCATATCTGGTGTGTGGTGAGGGGCCCCTTCCTAGCTGGCCAATGACTGCATTCTCGCTGTGTCTTCACGTGGTGGAGAGCACAGGGAGTGAGAACAAGGTCTTGTGTCTCTTCTTATAGGGGCACTAATCCCAACCAGGAGGGCTTCACACTCATGATCAATTTACCTCCCAAAGACCCTACTTCTTAATATCATCTCATTTTAACACATGAGTTTTGGGGAGGCACAAATGTTCAGTCCATAGCAAGGATATTTGTCAACTTCTCCCGTAGGCCAAGACCCCAGTTATTCTTAAACTACCACTAGAAATACACACACACACACACACACACACACACACACACACGTGTGTGTATCTATATATACATATTGTATATATATGTGTATATATGTGTGTGTGTGTATACACTATATATATTGTGTATATATACAGTGTACATATATACACACACACATTGCTTTTCTAAGACTACTGTCTTAGTCCATTTGGGCTGCTATAACAAAGTATCTGAAACCGGATAATTTATAAGCAACAGGAACTTATTTCTCATAGTCCTGGATGGTGGGAAGTCCGAGATCAAGGTGCCAGCAGATTCAGTGTCTGTTGAGGGTATGATCTCTACTTCATAGATGTCACCTCTTTCTGTATTCTCTGACAGAGTCCCCCAAACCCTTTTATAAGAAAATTAATGCCATTCATAAGGGTAGGGCCTTCATGATCTACTCACCACCTAAAGGCCCTACTTCTTAATATTATCATATTGGGGATCAAGTTTCAACATAAATTTTGGAGGGACATAAACATTTAAACCATAGAAATCACTGTCTCCTAACAGACACTTAGGAATACTTTCCAAAAAACTTAAACCAACCTAGATTGTGCCAAAATTAACCAGTCAATGAAATAAAAATTTGAAAAAATTTGCAACACTGTGCCCAAAATGTTTTTATCTAATTTAAGGGGAAACAATACATTTCCCTTTGGGGAATTAAATTCTGTCCAAAGTGTGAGTAAAACATCAAGTTTTAATTCAGAAGGCCAATGGTAAGGAGATTCTTTCTCCACCTTCTCTTTTCTCACCTCTCATTCTCCTACCCTCCTTGCAAGCACACACAAAGGAAAAAAAATGTGGTCTACATTGCCTCATAGATAAGGAACCAGAGGCACAGAGAACTGAAATGCTTCACTGTATTTCATGCAGAAAGTGTTTGCTAGAATTAGAATTCACTTTTCACTCTACAAGACCAAACACGACATAGACTATATAGTTCCTTTATTGTCATTGAAGATTTAAAATCTATAACACAATGCAGGTAGAATGATGTAAATTATGTAAAGATACTCATATAGTATAAAGGTATTATAATATAGTATGTAGACACTATGAATTCCAACCTCCTAAAAACTTAGCTCTCCTGAAAACCTCAGAGTAAAGAAAAGTCTATTGACTATGTAATGAGACTATCTCTGATAATTCTTATATATAGTATTCTGGATTGGCAAGAAGTTTATTTCTTTTTTTATTTCATCACATTCATTTAGATTTATGGAAGCTGGAAAGATTTCCCTTCTCTTATGGAAATGGAATTAATTGCAGCACTTCAATAATCTCAGTGAAACCCATTTCCCCTGGGGAAATGAGGAAAGAGACCTAGACTTAATGTAGATAAAACAAATTGACATGGGACGTGAATGGGAGAGAAATGAGAAAACCATTCTAGACTAAAGGTCTTACACATTTCAGGAACGAGAAGTAATAGAGGGATTTTTATTGGCAGAACTTATTGAATCTCATAATTTATAATGTTTAAAGCTACTGGTGACCTTTTCAAAAGCAATTAATTCGGTTACATATTTATTGGGAGCTACATCAAGCTTTCAGGAGTCATGCACGCATACCAAGGTCTTTAAAGGAACAGAATTAAGTAGATAAAAGGAGGAAATCATAAAATGTAACATCCTTTCCCAGGTGGCCACAGCTTGTTCTTATTCTATGCTTCTATTAGTAAAGACCAAGGTCACACAAGTCAGACCACTTAGAGTCCTAACAAGGAACAGACACCCTTGCAGGTTCTAATTGAACTGATTTGGGCTAGAAACTCTGTGAACATCACTGAAGCCTGAATTTTAACAAGCAAAAATTCAGGAGGGAAAAACTATTCAGATGGTCTTCTACGGGAGGCAAAATACAAGGAAACTTTTCTACGCCAACGAACTTTGCCTAGCAACGTGATAATTCACAGAGTATTATCCTGCAGGCTTCAAAGACAACAGACAATCAGCCTAAAAGTTACACCTTTGCTTTTAAATTTCTTCATATAACTAGGAATACTGGTGTAACAATGTCAATTACAGCAGGGGGCCATACTTCACAAGCAGGAAAATTGTAGAGAGATACAGGTATGCGCCCCAGTTCCTGCCCCTCCCTTTCCCACAATGGAAAGACCACCTTTCACTTCTTCGCTCACTCCCCATACTTCCAGTTAATAGCATCAATTTCAAATACTACTACAACTTTCTCATGTTCCAAAAAATTGACAAGCACATGAACATCCGTTCAATTTTCTCTGGCAAATATTTATCAAGCAGCAAATAATGTGGCACTATACTAGCCGTGGTATTGATTAGGCATTATCCTATCTTCAAGAAGTTCACTAGTTAATGGACCTTTGGGTGTGGCATATAAAGGTATGATAAGTATAAGGGCCAAAAAGACACCACAAAGAACAAAATTAGGAACAAATTATGTATTACTGGCCAGGCGCAGTGGCTCACACCTGTAATCCCAGCACTTTGGGAGGCTGAGGCGGGTGGATCACCTGAGATCGGTAGTTCGAGACCAGCCTGACCAACATGGAGAAACCCTCTACTAAAAATACAAAATTAGTCAAGCGTGGTGGTGCATGCCTGTAATCTCAGCTACTCGGGAGGCTAAGGCAGGAGAATCACTAGAACCTGGGAGATGGAGATTGCGGTGAGCTGAGATTGCGCCATCGCACTCCAGCCTGGACAACAAGAGCGAAACTCCGTCTCAAAAAAAAAAAAAAAAAATATATATATATATATATAATTAAAATACCAATCTAACAGCAACAACAATATGTTTTGATGCTCAAGAACATGTCCAGGACAAAGCCTGCAGGACACAAGGTCCCTGTGCCACCTGCATCTGTCACTGCATCATTGGTTCTCATGACATGTTCCAGCCTCAACTGATGCCACTATACTTAATTGGCACAGTTTAAAATTATAAAATATTAGTAGTAAAAGGGACCTTAGTGACCATCTAGGCTTATTTCTTCATTTCAGAATCTAGCCTAGAGATTAAAATGTTGGTTTTTATCCCCATAATTAATTTGTTGAATCGTCAAGACCAGAATGAATGAAAGTCATTTACCTTCCAGTCCTATATTCTTTAGCTACACCACACTGTCTGCCATCCATATGGAATTTGTCCTATACCCACCCAAATTCTTACTGCTTCGTCTCAGAAAGTCTTGCCTTCACCATGGAACTCTTCTAACCACTGTCTCTATTGATCTCACTCTTCTTTGAGCTCCTACAACACTCACAGGCTAAGCCACAATTGTCCTATCAATTACTTTATTGCTTCTCGTAGGGAACTCTCCCAAGTACACAGTAGGTCACTTGAAGATAGAGACTGATCCTCAATAGTATTCTTGTGATCCTAGCTTCTGTCGGGCACAGTCAAGGCAGCCCTAAATACCTGCTCAGTGGCTGAATCATCATTTAATGTAACCTCACCTCCATTTACTATATTGGGTATATCAAATACTTGCTATTACATGAAAAAGCCATACCTGTCTTCAAACTGGCACACCTGCTTTACACAGGGCAGCCAATTTGTGCTTTAAAATTCTAAATAAATTTAGCTCAGGTGAAGATAAGGAAAAAGAGTAAGGTGTGATTCAGTTGCTTTTTTTCACATATTTGTTTCTCAGTTTTTGTGTGTAGACCTTGGATAAGGCATTTACCTTCACTGAATCTTGAACTCACCTTTACTATAAGGGTAATATTATCTACTTTACAAGTACACATGCTTATTGTGAAGATTAAAGAAAATTGTGAATGGCAAGAGCATATCACACTAATGCCCATGTTTTCCATCCTACTGCTCTAGCCTCTAAAACCCAAATCCATCCTTTGTCTCATTCTGCTAAATCCTGGGAAGGTGCTAGCAGATATCTAAGGAGTTGGTTAAAACAGACTTAAGGTGAGACTCCTCCCTAAGACAGTTTTTTCATGGACACAGGAAGAGGAACATCACACTCTGGGGACTGTTGTGGGGTGGGGGGAGGGGGAAGGGATAGCATTGGGAGATATACCTAATGCTAGATGACGAGTTAGTGGGTGCAGCACACCAGCATGGCACATGTATACGTATGTAACTAACCTGCACAATGTGCACATGTACCCTAAAACTTAAAGTATAATAATTAAAAAAAAATTAAAACAAAACAAAACAAACAAAAAAAAACAAACAAAAGGCAGTGTTTTTAACAAAAGGCTTCTTCGAACCTCAAAGGATTGCTGTTCTCACAGATTAGGACAGGCACTGGGGAAGAGGGCCCTGCTGGTGCCTCAAGTCATCCCCAGAAGCAGTAGCCTCGGAGTGTCTTGGTAAGTGGATGCGGCTGGGAACAGAAGTGCATGCAGCTGGGACTAGAAGCCCTGTGCTCTAGTTTCAGCTCTTGCTACATTTTAAGTTGCTCTTCTTAAAAATGAGGGCAATGACACTTTGGGAGGCCGAGGCAGGTAGATCACAAGGTCAGGAGACTGAGACCATCCTGGCCAACATGGGAGAAACCCAGTCTCTACTAAAAAATAAAAAAAAAAGAAAATTAGCCCGGTGTGGTGGCACGTGCCTGTAGTCTCAGCTACTCGGGAGGCTGAGGCAGGGGAATCACTTGAACTCGGGAGGTGGAGGTTGCAGTGAGCCGAGATCGTGCCATTGCACTCCAGCCTGGGCGACAGGGTGAGACTCTGTCTCAAAAAAAAAAAAAAAAAAAAATGAGGGCAATGATTTAGATAGTCACCCCAATCATTCCAGCCCTACTATCATATTCTACCCCTTCATACCAAGAAGACAGATGCTAAATAAGGATCAGGAGCCATAATGTTAATTTTAACCAAAAAACCCATATATATTCATCTGGTGATACTAGAGCTGAAGAAAACCATGATGATTAGTAAAGCAAGAAATAAAAAATGTATTTCCCCGGATTTTTTATGGTTGGTTGTAGATAGAAAAATGGGGGAAATTTGCTGATTGAGATTAAAATAATAATAAATATGTATTACATATATACTTTGTGAGTGGCCCAGGAAAAACAGATTTTTTGTTTGTTCATTTTTTAAGAACAGGTAGAAAAAAGGATTTTTTTAAGTGAAATGAAATTTTTATCAACAGGAAGACACAACTCATATGTATGTCCTCAAAGTCTCAATTTCAGACCCTCACATGAAAGGCTGGGACTGTTCCACCCTACCCCATTCCCCATTCCCCCTTGCAAGGTCTTGGCGATTCACAGTGTGCCAGGCAAGGAAGAGAAGAAGGCCTCTCTGTATGGGTCCCAAATACTGCAGAGGCTACAGAAGAGATCCATGTCTCTACAGCTAATACGCCATTGTTGCAGTTCTTAAAATAGGTAGGGTCCCATTTCAGCTGGTGGGGACCAAGGCATTCTGTGACATTTGGATGAGAATTGCAAAGTATCTCACTGTCAATCAAGTAAAGGAATATTTCATCTTCATAGCATCATATCCAAGGCAGCAACAGCTTTCAAGAAAAAAGATGCCAGAAGTTCATGGGCACTATCAACAATCTCAATAAGCCTCATGAGAAAGTTGTTTCACCTGTCCTTAATGCACAGTTATGTGGGAAGAGAGATTTGTTTGTGAGCTTTGAAGCAAAATGGAAAATTAGCTTAACCTCTGCATCAATAGTTCAGAATTGTGGCCACATCTCACATTGTTACTATTGTTCGTAGCAACATAATTATAAAATCGCAGAGTTTAAAATTTTGTGAAGACTCCCTAAGTGTTTATTTCCCAATTTCTAAACAGAGATACTGCACTTCTTCAAAAGAGTCATGGTTACGGGTAGTCTCTGCTTTTGGTGTTTCTACCTGCATTTCACTAAGAAAATATCACAATACCTCATCTATTTAAAATATTATCAGCCAGGCGTGGTGATTCATGCCTGTAATTCCAGCACTTTGGGAGGCCGAGGCGGGTGGATCACGAGGTCAGGAGTTCGAGAGCAGCCTGGCCAACATGGTGAAACGCCGTCTCTACTAAAAATACAAAAATTAGCCAGGCATGGTGGCGGACACCTGTAATCCCAGCTACTCTGGAGGCTAGGGCAAGAGAATCCCTTCAAACCAGAAGGCTGAGGTTGCAGTGAGCCGAGATCACACCACTGCACTCCAGCCTGGGCGAAAGAGCAAAACTCTGTCTCAAAACAAAACAAACAAACAAAAACAAAAATTAGCCGGGCATGGTGGCATGTACCTGTAATCCCAGCTACTCAGGAGGCTGAGGCAGGAGAATTGCTTGAAACCGGAAGGTAGAGGTTGCAGTGACCCGAGATCTCGCCACTGCACCCCAGCCTGGGTGACAGAGCCAGACTCCATCTCAAAAGAAAAATATATATATATATAAAATAAAATATTATCAATAGCTTATAATGGGCACACTTCCTACAACTCCATCAATCTGCTTTCAGCCAACAGCCCTGTCTCTGGGGAACATGTAGTGCCCGGTTAGGAACTTATATTTTGAACTGCAGTCGCTCCAAAGGGTACAACTATAGCATGGTGGATAAAACCAACAGGGCTCGTCTCTGGAGCTTCTCTGGCTTATTTTGGCAACAGGTGGACCTGTGTGGAAACCAGTACTTATTGCATTCATTATTCAGCAGGCATTTATTTACAGGGTGCCTGGCATATGCAAAGTACTAAGGTTATAGCAGATAATAAATGATAAATGTATGAGGTGACAGACATGCTAAGTACCCTGACTTGATCATTATACACAATTTATATGCATGAAAACATCAAATTGGATCCCATAAATATGTACAATTACAATGTGTCAACTTTAAAAATAATCAAATTTTTAAAAAAGAGTCCAAAATGCCGGCCTCATGAACCTTACATTTACCAAATTGTTGCATATCCTGACATTGCAAACTCTGGGGACCAGAAAGAGGGAACCAGGCCTGGGTGCTCTTATATCCCTGGAAACACAGCAGGAACTACTCAGAAGTCACAGAACTTCATGCCAGTGATTATTCAAATAAATGGCGCCTCTGTGGTTTTAAATAGAAGGTAGGGAAATCACTGTCATTTCCAAATTATAAGAAATAATTGATAATCCAGAAGTTGTTCATGTTGCTTAATAGTAACCACCGTGCACCACCCTGACTTACTAGAGCTCTTAAAACCTCATCCAGTATATAGCACTATTCACTGAGCAATTAATATTCTAACTTATGTTTGAGTATTTTTTAAATTTCCAAATAATTTGAACAAATTTCTCACAAGAACATATCTCCTTTTAAAAATATGACATTAGGCCAGGCGCAGTGACTCATGCCTGTAATTCCAGCACTTTGGGAGGCCAAGGTGGGCAGATAATTTGAGGTCAGGAGTTCAAGACCAGCCTGGCCAACATGGTGAAAGCCCATCTCTACTAAAGATACAAAAATTAGCTGGCTGTGGTGGCGTGCACCTGCAATCCCAGCTACTTGGAGGCTGAAACAGGAGGATCACTTGAACCTGGGAGGCGGAGGTTGCAGTGAGCTGAGACAGTGCCTCTGCACTCCAGCCTGGGCAACAGAGTGAGACCCTGTCTCAAAGAAAAAAAAAAGACATTAATTCTATGTATTGATAAAAAACCCTGAACGTCATGTTTTCAAGAACACTCTTTCTGCTCATAACTAGCTATGTGACTGGGCTCAGGGCATTCAATAACCTCAGCTTCCTCAGCTATGAAATGAATGTATTCAGGTGAATAATTATGAAGTCTCCAGTAAGCTACATGATCTTTTAATGCTAAATAGATCAGTGCAGTTGGTGTGGATTGACTCTGCCCCATGATGCAGTAAGAGATAGAAGGCTAAATGCAGTGGTTGGAGCAGAAAAGGAAGAGACAGACATAAACACACCAACAGGTCAGGAGATAGAGGGAGGACCTGTGGTATGAAGGCCTAAAATGAAGCCTCAATATGATATGTGCCTTGACATCTTGGAAAAAACAGGAGATCCTCCAGCGGCCTAACTGCAAGTTTCCCCCTCCATGGGGCTCCCATAGATCCTGGAGCCAAACAACCCTCCTTATTAAGAAGTGCAGGCCCAGTTTCTGCTTTTCTCTGAGTGGCGGCCTTCAGTTCCCTTCCAGCCCATGGAGTTATTCAAATAAGCCAGTCACATTCTCCCATGGAACCAGGGTTCAACCTCTTGTTACTACAAAGCCTACCTCCCACATCCCCTGATTGTTCACCGTGTTCCCAAGTGCAGCCTTTGTGTGGCTGTTCCTGCAGTGGCCTCCTCCTGTAGGCTGTGAATGTATGTGATTAATAAACTGCTGTCAATGTTATCTGTCCAGCGGCAGGTGCCATTTACTCGGCCATCTCCATAATCCCTCCCTCCTTCAACCAATGGGATGCAGAGAAGGCAATCAAAACAAACTTGTTCATGGGTCAACTTGACACACGCAGTTGATTCTGAGTATATAGAAAATAATAAGGTAAATGGCCTCCAAGTGAGTGCAAGGCAACAGAGAGACCAAGAAGATACAGAGGAAGGTTTTTCTGTAGGCAGGTGGAGGACAGCCACAGGAGGTGTAGGTAGCCAGAGGCAGTCTTATGAGATCCACATCTAACCACAGGATGCAGCCTCCAGGCAAGACGGCTGGGGCTGGGGACAGGGCTCCAAAGTTTACATAGGTCAGACAAGCAAACTAAAGGAAGGAGTTGGACCAATTATCCAGACAAAGACTGAGCCACAGAGGGCAGATACAAATGAGTCAATAGATGCTCAATCTAAGGAAAAAAACAGAACTTTGATTACTCAGATTGAATCATGGGATAAAATATTAGCAGCCAAGTCACCCTGATCTCAAGTTACTGCCCTTTTCCTCGTCCTTTTTTTTTTTTTTTTTTTTTTTTTTAGACAGAGTTTTGCTCTTGTTGCCCAGGCTGGAATGCAACGGCGCAATCTCGGCTCAACGCAACCTCCGCCTCCCGGGTTCAAGCAATTCTCCTGCCTCAGCCTCCCGAGTAGCTGGGATTACAGGCATATACCACCATGCCCAGCTAATTTTGTATTTTTAGTAGAGATGGGGTTTCTCCATGTTGGTCAGGCTGGTCTCGAACTCCCGACCTCAGGTGATCCACCTACCTCGGCCTCCCAAAGTGCTGGGATTACAGGCATAAGCCACCGCGCCTGGCCTCCCTGCTTTTTAGCATTCAAGACAGACTTGTTTCCAGAGGCTGAATAGAGCTGATCTGTCCAGGAAGTTTTAGAAGAGCTCAAGGGGAATTGTGAGTCACAAAAAAATCAGAACGAGGGCCACTTGCCATTTTCATCTCATTTTAATCATGTTATTTTTCCAAGGATTAACACCAAATTTTCAAGACTGTTATTCACCTATTTTTAAAACTATTTTGCAGCTTCTATGTGTAGCTCTGGCATCATGCCAGGTTTTTGTGATTTTCAAAATAATTGGGTGCCTCATTAAATCTGTTAGCTAACCCCCCTAAGATCATGGAGTTCGGTATTGCCAAGATCACACACTTATTCCATTCTTTAATTTTTGAAAGTGGCTTTTATCAGGATTATCTTGGTTCCATAATTGGCTAAATCTCTCCATTCTATTTCCTTTAATTTAAAATCTCTATCCAGTTCTTAGTCTCTATAGAACACATTCACTGCTTGAGCTTTTCCATTTGGGGCCAGGCCTATTCCACTTGTATTACCTTTCCTCAATGTATTTTATAAAGATTTCTGGGAGGTCTTCCGTAGTCTTCCACACTTTGTAGGACTAAGATCCATATTTGAAATATTCATTCATTCAACTAACATTTACTTGTGGCACACCTAAAACTTGCTAAGCATTGGATAGAAACTTCAGGAACCTAGTGAAGAATGCAGTTTTATTTTACAGAGTGTAAATTTTCCTTTTGGATACAAAAATGTGACAAAAAAATCAAGGCAAATTCTTTTTCTTCCTTTCCCTAAAACCTCCTCGGATTCTGGATCTAGGATTGTACTTACAAGACCAATCCTATAATTCAGACATTTGGCCTCTGTATGTACCGTGATTAAGCAAGTAAAGTCTGGGTCTGCCCGAGTTAAAACCAGTGCTTTACTAGTCCTACAAATCCGGAAATCATTCAGATTCATTTTTCTTTCCTGGAGACCTCTGCCTTCTAACCACAGGTGGTCTGTACCTGTCCTCAGATGTGCCGTGAGATTGGGTGTCTTACTTCAGGATCCTAGCTCCGTCTCTCTCAGTTTCTCCCACTTCCCAGCGTCTTCCTCAAAAAAGGATGCATACAAGGTAGATTTAGGTGCTCCTGGCTGCCTGAGATGTCTTTGTTCCTTCCTCACCTTGCATGGAGGGGTCTGAGTAAGTGTAGAATCCTACTTTAGATGACTGCACCTGATTACTCCTTTGCTCTTCAGGACTCCGAAGGGACTACTCCGTTGCCTTCTAGGGTACCAGGATGCTGCAGAGAAGCTGGAGCCCATTCCTATTTCCAGTGCTTTGTTTGGACTTATTTTTTCTCTTCGATGTTCTAAAAATTCACAATAATTTGCCTTTTTTTCTCTCTCTTTCAATTTTTGGGGCTGGCTACTTGGCAGACCTTTCCCTCTGGAAGTGCATATTCTTTGGTTTGAGGAATTATTCTTGCATTGTTTCCACTGATTTCTCCCCCTTATTATCTCTCTCTATACGTAGAACTTCCAGTGATCACATGCTAGAGCCCCCCATTTTCACATCTTTTCTCTACTCTCATCAATTTCTTTGCCTTTTATTTTACTCTCCAGGCAATTTCAACTTTATTGTTAAATTCTTCTATGTATTTTTTTAGCACACATATTTTTAATTTCACATAGCACTATCCTGTCCTCTGATTTCTCTCTTTAGCATAGAATCAATGGAATCTTCCGTTATCTCTCCAAGGATATTAACTACGAGGTTTTTGAAGCATTCTTTTTTTCTATACTTTTTAATTTCCCTGTTTACACTTCTGAAAATTTAACTTCAGTTGGTTTATTTTAGAATATGCCTTTCCTTTTAGAGGTTGTTCTAAAATGTCTGATTCTAGAATGTTTCTAAAACATTTGTATTTCTTGTCATTCGTGTTTAAAACAAAGCCATTAAAAAGCTGACCGGACCGTTGAGCACACTAGGGGTCTTGCTAGCTGGTGGACCTTAAGGTTGGATGACTGGGCAGTGAGAGCTTTTTTATTGGGACACACCCAAAGTCACTGTCTAGAGGACTTTTCTGCTTTCTGGTGGAAAAGAACTGCCCAAGCCCACCTGCCATTCAGCATTCTGGGAGCAGAGCCAGGAAGAGAGCTGAGGCTTCCATAATTCAGTGCGTAGACTTCAGCTTCCTCTCCTGCATTCAGCCCTGTCTGTCTCTTCACCCTAGAACAGGGTTTCTCAACCTCGGCACTATTGGCATCCTGGGCTCTAGCCCTGTGGGAGACTGTTCGGTGCATCGTAGGACGTTTAGCAGATCTCTGGCCTCTACCCACTACACGCCAGGAGCACCCCCCAAGTTGTGCCAATGAAAAATGTCTCTAGATATGGGCCAATGTTCCCTGGGGTGGGCTACTGCCCTGCAGGGTGCTTGGGCTCCCTGAGGTCTGAGTTCTTCCAACTGTTTCTCCAGTTACAAAGTTCTAAACTCTTCTAGAAGCAAAGGGTAGGTGTGGTTTCCTGAAGCTAGGAGATACGAGAGGGAAAGTGGGGATGTAAATGCCACATGTGAAGATTTTCTTGCAATTTTGCCTCGTGTTATCCTTGCTCTCTGTGGTATCTAGAGCCCCCAGTCATGTGTCATTATGGGACTCTAACAGTTGCTGCTCAATGATACCTGCAGACACTGAGTTCAGCTTTGTCCCTCCGCTGGATCAGTCTCCACTCCTCCAACCCCTACATATTCCAAAAATGTGTGGACACCTCTAGCCCACTCCTGACTCCTCACCTCTTCACTATTGACCTTGTCTTTTCTGTCTTTTACTGGCATTTACATGGACTTGTGGAAGGGGGCAGAGAGAAGCCACATGCCCAATGCCCCATGTTTAACTAGAAACCTGTACTGTTACTTTACAAATGTGATTCCTCATTTATTGGTTTAGTACGTGCATAATGAATTTCTTCAGTAGTTATTCTAGAGATTCTGATTAATTATACAGAGTGATATTGATCACTTATATCATTTTTTCTTTTCCCAACTCAGATCAACTATCTCATGCTCCCAGATTAGTTTTAACAGTTTAAGAAGTATGGAAGAGTTGACAGACTCGTGGGTCTCTTTTTAAAAAAATCTCTTTTGTAACCAGCCTAGACGCCTTGGCTGAACACGATAGGAGGGCTGTGGAGGTGGCATAAGCTCTAGTCCAAGGCTCCCTTTTGTGGAAACGTGGGTAGACGCCTCCTGGCGGATGCCTACAGCAATACCTGGAGCATGCCAGCAAGTAAAAATAAACCTGGAAGAGCACTGGGTTCAAGCCCACGTTCCGTCCATCCCAGAGGGCCCTCGAGCAAGGCCTCCTGCCCAATCACATGTTTTTATCATAATAGATTCTTCCAGGTGGTAAGAGCAGTAATACAATCATCACACAGTTTGCCAAAGCATTTTCCAAGAATAACTGCCAGAAGTGTGCATTCAGCTTGTGTGTCCATATGCTCCTGGTAAGATTTAGAAAGCAGGGAAAAGGGATGAGAAAAGATTAAGTCAGGAAAATTGAAAAAGAAGGAGACAAATTGAAAAGGGAAGAAATCGAAAAAGAAAGAAAGGTGATTCCACTGATGAGTGGGCGATCTGCTACTCTTTGAACCATAAATACATTTCCTCTAACTAAATGCATCATAGGTATTCTCAATTCGATGTATTGGTTTTCCACAACCTAATCTATGAATTTTCAAGTGTAATTGTACACTGCTGTCTGAACAACACAAGAGCAAGTCCTTCAGCATTGTACATAGTGTAGCCATTTAGGACTGTGCACTCAAAATTGGTTGGCAAACATAGGGCATTATGAGGCTGAAATAACTGTAGCTCACTCTTCCTGAACCTCATTACTTTTGGCAGTGCCTCTACTGGTAAGTGAAATGAGTTGGATAGCACAGGAGCAGATATATGTTTTTAAGAATAAACTCAGGGACCTTGAGTATCACAAAATCTTAGTTAATCCACCTCTTTTCCTTTAGAACTCTGCTTCAGCCTCACCCCTCTGAAAGACCTGGTGCCAGCTCTGCCCGCCTCCACTGGCTCCATTTATCAATGCTGGCCCCTGCATCCCTGATCCTCTCACTAATCCTAAGCTTAGAGTGGCTTTTCCTCTCCCATGGGGCCAATTCCTATTGAACTTCAGTTAGTCCAGGTGGAGTGGGGCTCTCGGTCTAGGATACAAGCAAGCTCATGCCCTTGGTCTGACTAACACTATATTTTAAAATTGGACCCAAGAACCAATAGAAATACATTCCTTCCATTTACCTTGGGATGCAGAAATACTCTCTTTTAATGATCTTGAGGTCATTTTGTTCCTTGCATTGCAAATCCTACAAGGATAAAACTTTTATCTTAAATCTACTTACTTAAACTTCTTTTTTTAACAAGACAAAATTTAAGCCATATTCCCATGGCTGACACAAAAACTGAAGCGGTTTTCTCCATCCTGATGTCCTTGGAAATTGTACTTGTAATTCAGAGATCAAGTATCTGTCTTCGTTTAAAGAAAATAAGCACCAACTGGAGCTCTAGTAAGTTTTCTTTTCTCTCTCCAGGGGAGGTTGTTGCCCTATGTCATGAGAAACACAGAGGACCTGACATGTAGAATGACTATGAAGCAGTGTTCATAGAAATAAACCCCCCCCCCTTTTTTTTTTTCTTGAGACGGAGTCTCGCTCTGTCGCCCAGGCTGGAGTCCAGTTGGCGCCATCTTGGTTCACTGCAAGTTCCGCCTCCCGGGTTCACACCATTCTCCTGCCTCAGCCTCCCCAGTAGCTGGGGCTACAGGAGCCCACCACCACGCCCGCTAATTTTTTGTATTTTTAGTAGAGATGGGGTTTCACCGTGTTAGCCAGGATGGTCTCAATCTCCTGACCTCGTGATCCGCCCGTCTCAGCCTCCCAAAGTGCTGGGATTCCAGGTCCCATCCCTTTTAATTTCTGCACGGGCCCTACTTTAAGTATCGCTGCAGTGGCGAAAGCATTCATCATTGCCGACCTGTGTGGAATGTGAACCTGAGTATTTTCTATTGGCGGGAACTTACGTGGCTAAAACGTCTCCTTTATAATGTGGAGCTAAACAGTTCAAAATCTTGAACAGATCTTATCACCCTTAAAGTATTATGTAATATGATCCTCACCCAAGAATGACCTCCAAGTTTCCTGACATACTTGACGGGGGAGACTGGTGTCACATGAGGACCAGTAAAAAATCTGTACTGAACTGAAATTTTTATGCCTCAACATTTTTTTACAAAAGGAAATCAAATGTGAAAATTTATCTGGATGCTCCATACTTCAAACAATTCCCATTAAATGCATTAAGGCTTTCCAGTGGCCTCCCATAGCAGGATTCCTCCAACACTTCTGTGACGGTTCATTTTACATGTCAACTTGACTGTTTCACAGGAGTGCCCAGGTATCTGGTTAAACATTATTTTTGGGTGTGTCTGTGAGAGGCTTTCTGGAAGAAATTAGCATTTGAATGGTGGACTGAGTAAAGCAGACTGCCCATCCCACTGTGGGTGTGGCTTATCCAACCTGTTGAGGGCCTGAACAGAACAGAAAGGTGGAAGAAGTAAGGATTCTCTCTCTGCTGGAGTGCTTGAGCTAGGACATTGGCCTTGGAGTGGGATTTACACCAGCATCATTTCTGGTTCTCAGGACTCTGGAATCAGACTAATTACACCACCAACTTCCCTGGCCTCCAGCTTGCAGATAGCAGATTATGGGACTTAACCTCCACAATCACACAAGCCAAATCTTTATAACGTGTGTGTGTGTGTGTGTGTGTGTGTGTGTGTGTGTGTGTGTGTGTGTAGACACACTATTGGTTCTGTTTCTCTGGAGAACCCTGACTACTAGAATTTCTTTTTTTTTTTTTTTATTTTTATTTTTTGAGATGGAGTCTCACTCTGTCGCACAGGCTGGAGTGCAGTGGCGCAATCTCAGCTCACTGCAACCTCCGCCTCCCGGGTTCACGCCATTCTCCTGCCTCAGCCTTCCAAGTAGCTGGGACTACAGGCACCCGCCACCACGCCTGGCTAATTTTTTGTATTTTTAGTAGAGATGGGGTTTCACCGTGTTAGCCAGGGTGGTCTTGATCTCCTGACCTCGTGATCCACCCACCTCGGCCTCCCAAAGTGCTGGGATTACAGGCGTGAGCCACTGTGCCCGGCCTGACTACTAGAATTTCTTATAATGGCCTACCCAAGGTCACATATGATCTCACTCCTGCAGACCTCCCCAAATTATTTCCTACAGCTTCCCCCTCCCCAGCTTCCTGCTGTCCTCAAACATGCCAGGATTACTACCAATTTAGGGCTTTTACACTTGTTTCTTAAGCCTAGAGTGCCTTCAACTATATTTTGTCATGGCTTTTGATTTCTGCTCAAATTATGGCATCTCATATGTGCTTTCCTTGAACAGCCAATCTGAAAAGAAGTTCCTAGCCCCATCTGTATCCAGGCTCCCTCTAGCTGTTTTTCCAGTGGTTGAGGTCTTTAAGTTTAATATCTCTCCAAATATTTCTTTCTTCTCAACTCCCATTTTCCTCTCTTCTAGACTCCAGTTACCTGTGATTAGATAATTTGATATTATCCACAGGTCTCAAGTAGCCTTTTTCATTTTTTCACTCTTTTCCTCTCTATTTTGCAAATTGGATAATTTCTATTCACTTGTTCAAATTTACTAATCCCTTCCTCTGCTATGCCATGTTTGCTATTAAACCCATCAAAAAAATTCTCCATTTCTGATATTGTACTTTTTTTTCCAGCACAGCTGTTTGATTCTCTATCATTTCTATCTCTCTAAGATTTCCTTTACTTTTTCACTTTTTCATTGTCCATTTTTCTGCTGATCTTTAACATATATACATATGTATGTGTGTGTGTCTGTGTGTGTGTAATCTGTCCAATAATTCCATCTGGTCCATTCCTTGGTCTGCTTCTGTTGACTATTTTCTCTCTTGACTTTATGTTTCTTCACATAATTCATCAATTTTTATTGTGGTTCAGATATTATAGGTAAAGTATTATTACAGACTAAAGTAAATAATAATGAACCCCCCCCCCCAAAGGATACACTCCTTCTTCTCTCAAGGCTGAGTTAGCTAATCTGCAGCTGAGATGTGTCTGAACTTAGTCTAGCTTTAGTTAGATTCAGTTGACCACTAACTATAAGTTTGAAGACATGATAGGACTTTCTCTTTAGCAAGATTGGGTATCTGCACATTGTCAAGACTCTGAAAATATTGTTCTCCTTAACAGCCCAGCCACCAAACTTCTAAGCTCTGGAAATCTCTATCTACTTGTCAGTCCATCTGTTAGCTTTTTTTTTTGAGGGAGATGGAGTTCTCAGGGAATTGTTTTTTGTTCATTTGTTTGTTTTGTTTGTTTGCTTGGTTTTGGTCTAGTACCACTTCTAGCTTTGTGTGCCTCCAAGTAGTGCTCTCTCTTAGCATTACTGTCTGACTGCCAGCCTTTAGGGTCTCTATGGTGTGTTCTGTGAAGACCAATATTACTTTGGTGGAATTATTCTCAGCTTTCCTGCCCAACTCTAGCCCTCATAGGACTTCTGCAGTGTACTTGGTGAGGCCTAAAGTGCCTCAAAGGGATTTCTTTCCTCTCTCCTGCTCTACCCCTAGACTTCAGCAGCCCTCTGCCTTGTCCTTAAAAAAAGTCCCTCATATCTCAGGGTAAATTAGTTCAGCAAAGCTGCTCTGATTCCATCATTTGGCACTGTACCCTGTGCATTTAGTGAAGGTCCCTGGAAAAGAGTGGGCAGACAGATGCAGACTTTTGTGTCTGGAGCTCCTTGAGATTCTAATCCTTCCTGCCAGCTCATATGCAGCCACCAAAAGTTGGGCTGGTTTCTCTTCTCCTATTAGTCCACCAAGAATAAAAGCAACTGTGGATCTCTTCTCTCATGGAAATGTCTTGCCACTTTCTGGAAATTAGTTAATTGTCTCTTTTTGCATACTCAGCTCTGATGGGTTTGAGATGTTACAATGCTGTAGAGTGTCTGGCTTGATATTAAGGTTAGAGTGGAAGTGATAGTCTCTTGTACTTCCTACATCTATCCAGATAGAAAAGTTCCCACCACATCTTTGTCATCTTTATATTTTCAGCATTTGTACTGGTACTAGTACTTGGTAGTCACTCAATAAATTTTTTGTTGGATATGTAAAAAGAGAACAGTGATATTAACTAGACACCTAATTGGTAGTATTAACCAGACACCTAACTGGTAAAAGATTAGTTAAACCTAAATATGCCCAGAATTTTTTGAAGAGGCAAAGATTATACAAATAAAAGAATTTTTAAAGTAATTTATAGTAATGCTGCCACTCTAACACAACTATGTACATGGAACTAATATTATTTATTACGATCTTATAACACTGATGCCTATCTGAATTGTGCAGATGAAGAAAAATAATATAATCTATGCAGATATAATTATGACATTAGCTGAGGCAGGAAAAGTAAACTCTAATGTATTTAAGTGGAAAACACACAAATTAAGTTAAAACAAATTTTTAATGGAAGAGTAGAACTGGTTCACTATTCACGACTTTTCCAGGTTTAAAATGAATACAATTATATTACTAGTAAAACCTCATTACGGCCCATGGAAATGCCCTGTGGTTACACTCAGTGTTTCCTCCCAATCTCATGATTGACTATGGAAAACTGCAAATCTAGGTTTTCCCTGGTTCATATCAGCCTGAGAAATTAGACTGAATTATCTGTAACATCTCCCTTTTAAACATGTGCTTTCAGATAACATCACGACCAGAGTACTGACGAGATATTTCCTTATCCAGGACGGACTGATTATTCAAATTAACTTTGGTAGAGTAAACATGATTCTATATTATCTGAATAGCTACTTGGTTTAACTGACAGAAATGAGGAACAGGGTCAGAACAGTCAGTGTACTATAAGTGCACTTATGGCATCAAATACCACAAGCAAGCCAAGGCTGGTTCAGCAAAGCAATTTTGGAGACATCCCTCCCCATAAAGCCTGAATATAGCTGGCCCCTGTTCAGCTCTGGTTGGGGGAAAAGTGGATTATTAAGAAAACACTTCAGATGTGGCCACAGCCACATATTAATAGCCACAGTCCAGCAATAATGCTTTGACCTGAGGCTGATAAAACATGGTGGAGTACCTACTAATTTAGATTATGAGCTAAGAAAGTTGTCTATTTTTTCACTCCGAGGAAAGGTAATATTTAGTAGGAACAGTTTGTGCAATGAGTCATTTTCATCCATAAAAATATACACTATAGCACACCCCTAACAGGATACTTGTTTAGACGTTCTTAGACTTGGTCGCCTTGGCTTCCTTTTGGCATCCTATGGTAGGATCCTATGACTTGATTCTTTAGAATCCTCTATGGTAGGAAACGTTGGTGACCCTTGAGGCCGTCCTTCTCTCTCTCATAGCAATTAAGATCAACTGGTAGATCTTTACTAGTGGACTCAGATGGGAAAACAGGAGTTAAGGGCAGGCAGGATATTTATTCATATAAGCATGTCAAGGAACTTCTTTTTCTAATGATTCCACAGAGCCCTATTTTGAACAACAGCTGGGAGAGAATCAAGCAAGCTCTTTTAACAAGGCAGGCTGCAAGCATTGCCATTCCAGGAGACAGTTTAGATGCAACTATTCACTCATCTCTAACCATCACTTGCGTGAACATTACTCAAAGAGATACAGCAACCAAAGAAATCAAACCAGTAAAAGAAAGGTTTATTTGTTTAATAGAGGTCTGGCAGCTGAGGCAAAACCTAACAATAATTCTGATGAAGACTCAGTCATTTATTTGGAGCTTCTAATGAATCTAACTAGGTACCTTATACAGGCTTGCGTGGGTTAAATCACAGCTGTAAAGTGCCATGCTAACAGATGAGAGAGTATGTGATTGTATCAGAGATACTAGGGCATCCAATTATATTTATCACCTGCCTCCTATTAAAGCTTTTTTCTGTTCTTAACGTTTGTGTTGGTAGTGGCAACATAGAGGTTACAGTGAGCTTTGTCCTAAAGAACCTGGAAATAACTGAAGTATGAGTCAGACTTTAGGAGATCAGCTCAGAATGGATCAGAGCTCAGAGGAACCTTGGGACCTCATTCGTCCAATGTCCTAATACAGATCAACGATCAAAACAGTCTATCAAGGGTTCAGCCTAAACACAATTAACATGGAGCAACTCTTGCCATTAGTATATTTAGCTCTCGATAAAGCCTGAGAGGTTAATATGATTCTAGACAACCATTCATAGGCAGAGATATATCTTCCTAGCCAAAAAGAAAAAATATAGTTCTTAAAGAAGAGTAGGAAATGGCTTAGAAGTGATAGTTTTATTTCCAATTCTCAATTCCCTGTCTCATTTTGCTAAATGGGTTTAAGGAGCAACGATGACAATCTGCTACGATTTGCATACTCAAGCAACACTATGAATCACTGCAAGCATCCTCTTTTGTTGCTTCATTTTAGCTTAGTCAACGTCCAGACAATCAGGGTGTATTGAGCATCTTCTCTGATAAAAGTATTTTGAAGAAAAACAAAAGAATGGAATGTTCCTTCTCTCCCAAGGGACTTAAAATGTACTACCTGGCATACAAGTATTTACATCTTAAAATGAAAAGCAGTGAATAAAATCATAGACCAAAACTAATGGTGAATTTCCAGCCTCCAGTAAAGAATTTTTCTTGAATAAACAAGTCTATTTTATTTCTTTTCGTTCTTTTTAATTTTAATAGTACAGGCGACAGTTAAAAATAAAAGAGAGAGAGAAAGGAAGAGAGAAAAAAATGGATTGATTGATTCAGGTATCCTTCGTACCTCTGCCCAGAGACAATGTCCATCGTCAGCTTTTAAAATGCATCCTAAGATGTGCATACAAAATAGCATCCTACTGTTTTTTACTTAAAATATATCTTTACTTAAAATACATTCCAGATCACTCCTGTTAGCGTTGCTACATTTTTAAAATAGCTATGTACTCTCCTATTGTATGCATTGCTCCAATTTCTTCTATTTCTGCTCTACATAATTCTCTTGAAAGACCAAAGGCTGGGCTCATCTTTTTCGTCTTGTTATGCCCAATGAATTATTTTTTCAATTTTTGAAGTCAAATAAGTTTACCGCAATATATATCTGTATTTTGATCTTTATGTAAACATTAGTTTGGCACTCACAATCAAGCATGCAGGCCAGGCGTGGTGGCTCACGCCTGTAATCCCAGCACTTTGGGAGGCCGAGGCGGGCGGATCACGTGGTCAGGAGATCGAGACCATCCTGGCTAACATGGTGAAACCCTGTCTCTACTAAAAATACAAAAAATTAGCCGGGCGTAGTGATGGGCGCCTGTAGTCCCAGCTACTCAGGAGGCTGTGGCAGGAGAATGGTGTGAACCCAGGAGGTGGAGCTTGCAGTCAGCCGAGATCACGCCACTGCACTCCAGCCTGGGCGATAAAACGAGACTCCATCTCAAAAAAAAAAAAAAATCAAGCATGCACTTTGAACAAGCCAGGGTGTAAGCATTGCCATCCCAGGGGATATTTTAGCTGTGACTTTTCACTCGTCTCTAACCATCACTTGTGCGTACATTACTCAAAGAGATACAGCAACAGAAGAAATCAAACCAGTAGAAGAAAGATGCATTTGTTTAGTAGAGGTCTAGTAGCTGAGGCAAAACCTACCAATAATTCTGAAAGAGACTTAGTCATTTATTTGAAACCTTTTATGAATCTTCTGGTTCTGTAAAGTTTTACTGAGTTGCATCTTTAGTTTTTCTCCATTTTGTTATTTGATTCTCTTCTTCAGGAATAGCAAATATCTGTTTGTCGATTCACTTTGTCTTCCATATTTACCATTGAAAAACTCATTTTAACTCTTTGCTCATGTTGTCTTTGTTTTGCCCGCTGTTCTCAGTGCCGTCACAGCGATGCTTCCTGCCATATTTTCAATAATCTTTAATTTCCCTTGGGTTATTTCCAAACAGGACTTTATATTTGATGTTCGTATTTTTTTCTTCTACTTATTGCCTGAGCTTGATCAGCTCATGTTTAATCTTCTTCCATTGCTTCACCACATTTTTCATGACCTCTTATATTCATGGCTTAAGTTTTTGTTTTCTGGAAATTATTGCTTTCTTTAAAAAATGAACATAAGCCAGTATTTTAAACACAGATATTTTGCATTGGGAAGATTTTTTAGATGCACGTTTTCTATCTGCCATTTATTTTTGTTTTTTCTAATCTATTCTACATTACTTCCCTGCAGGACCTGTTCTTTGTTCTCCTCACCCTACCCCACCACTCAATTTATCACTTGTCTTTGCACGAAGTGAGTTGTTTCAGGCGCAGCCATTGTTGTTGTTAGTGAGGTTCTTTGCGGTGCAGAGTTGGGTGAAGGCAGCTACAGGAGGCTCAAGGGCAGATCCTCCTTCACCACAGAGCTCACAACTATGGCAATGGCTGTGTCCTTTCTCATTCACCCAAACCCACTGAGTATCCCTTTTCCACCAGCCCACACACCTCACCACTGCTCCCAACAATGGGTGGTTGTTTTGCCCCTCCTGTTGCGCCGCTAGCATTGAAGATCTACGTTCTGTTGGCTTTGTCTACGAACTGCCACGTGGCGCATCCTGACTCGGCATCTCTGCACACCTCCTTTTGACTTCTTTCACTGCACTTGTCCACTCCTGTTCAGACACTGACATTTAGGATGGCACACACCTTCTAGTTCCACTGAAAATAAATCTTATGTTTCCTGTTTCTAATCTCCTTATTTTCTGGAGAAAAGAATGGAAGCAGGATCCCTTTACTCCACCATAAAAGGAACACATACCCACAACTATTCATTTGGGGACTTCCAACCATATACACACCTTCCCCATAGTTAAGTGCCACTTTAAGTGGTTCCTTCGCCATTGAAGACAATGTGAAAGGCAGTGTGAAAGGCAGCAAGATCTCATAAATTCTTCATAACATATATAATATATATAATATAACATATAACTTTATAATGTAACATAATATAATTACATAGTAATACACTGGAGAACACGGAAAAGAATTAGGAAAAAAGATTTTACTCCTTTCAGTATCCAAGAGAGCTCACAGAGCATCATTCAGGACTCAGAAAGAGGGGCAGAGCTCAGTTACAGTGAAGAATGGGTTCCCCTTGATTTTCCTACTGTTTCTATGTTCTTTGAGGGAAAGTAAAGAACAAACGTATTTTGTGTAAACATGCTCAGTGTTGAAATTGTATGACAAAAATAGTCTTCTAACAAAGATAATAATAACATCTGCTGAGCACTTAGCTATGTATCATGTACCTATGTCCTATATATTTTTTGTATTAAAACTTTATTGTGACATAACCATAGATTGGCATGCAGCTATAAGATATGATACAGAGGGAGCATTTGTACTCTAGCCAACCTCTTCCAATGCTAACATCTTGCAAAAGTATAGTAAAATATCACAACCAGGATGCTGAAATTGGCATAGTGAAGAGAATTTTTCCATTACTACAAAGATCCCATTTATTGCCTTTTTTATCACCTTACTCACCTTCCTCTACTTCATCCCCTACATCAGTCCTAAAAACCACTAATCTGCTTTCTGTTTCTATAATTTTGAAATTTCAGGAATTTTACACAAATATAGAATTATATGATATGTAAACTTCTGAGATTAGTTTTTTCACTCAGCCCAACTTTCTAGAGATTCACCCAGGCTGCTGTGTGTATCAACAGTTTATCCCTTTTTATAGCTAGTGGTATTCTATGGGAAGGAGGTACCACAGTGTATTTAACCAATCCCCTGTGGAAGAACATCTTAATTCTTTCCAGTTTGGGGTTTTTTGTGGGTTGAGTTGTGCACCAAGAATTTACACGGTGAAGTTCTGATTCCCAGTTTCTCTGAGAGATCACCTCAGAACAAGATCTTACTTGGAAATAGAGTTGTTGCTTGTATCATTAGTTGAGATAATGTCATACTGTAGTTGGGTGGGCCTCTAATCCAATGTGACTGGTGTCCATATAAAAAGGGGAAATTTGGACACAGGTGGGCACACAGGGAAAATGTCATATGAAAATGAAGGCAGAGATCATGGTGATGCACCTACAAGCCAAGGAATGCCCGTGATTGCCGGATCCCTCCAGAGGCCAGAAGAGGGGAATGGAACACATTCTTCCTCATGGCCTGCTGATACCTCAATCTCAGGTTTCTAGTCTCCAAAACTATGAGGCAATACATTTCTGTTAATTAAGCCACCCAGTCTGCTGTACTTTGTTTAAGTAGTTCTAGCAAATGAACACAGAACTACTGCCAGTAAAGCTGCCACACATTTGTGTACAAGTTTTTGGTCTTTGTTTTTTGAGACAGGGTCTTGCTCTGTCACGTAGACTGCAGTGCAGTGGTGCAATCACAGCTCACTGCAGCCTGGACCTCCCATGCTAAAGCAATCCTCCTGCCTCAGCCTCCTGAGTAGCTGGGACTACAGGTGTACATCACCATGCTCGGCTATTTTTGTTTGTTTGTTTGATAGAGACAGGATTTCACTGTGTTGCCCAGGCTGGTCTGGAACTCCTGGGCTCAAGGAATCTTCCTGCCTCAGCTTCCCAAAGTGCTGGGAGGGATTACAAGCATAAGCCACTGCACCTGGCATGTGTGCAAGACTTTTTGTGGATATATGTCTTCAGTTCTCTGGGCTAAATGCCTAAAGGACAAAATGATAGTTGCAAGTTTACTTTTGTAAGAAACTGCCAAACTACAGCTGACTCTTGAAACACAAGGTTTTTAACTATTCAGGTCCATTTATATGCAGATTTTTTCAATAAATATACTACAAAGTTTGTTAGAGATCTGTGACAATTTCAAAGCTCACAGATGAACCACATAGTCTAGAAATATAAAAAAAAATAAGAAAAAGTTAGGTATGCCATAAATGCATAAAATATATGTAGATACTAGTCTACTTTAACACTTACTACCATAAAATATACACAAGTCTATTAAAAAGTTGAAATTTATCAAAATTTGCCCACACAAACACTTACAGATGGTACGTGGCACCATTTTCAGTCAAAAGAAATGTAAACAAACTTAAAGATGCAGTATTAAATTATAATTGCATAAAATCAACTGTACTCCATACTGTACTGCTGTGATAATTTTGTAGCCACCTTCTGTTGCTATTGTGGTGAGCTCAAGTGTTGTGAGTATCCACTTAAAACGCTCTTTGTCCCCACACAGCCAGTTCGTCTCTCCAGTAAATTGCCTATCACAGCAAAAAGTGATAGTTTCTGGTTCTTGGGTATTTTTCATCATGTTTAGTGCAAACCGTAAACGCTGAATAACACCATGGGACCCACATGAAATATCACTAGTGATGCCAGAAGTGCTCCCAAGAAGCAGAGAAAAGTCATGTGAGTTGCTTGATATGTACCATAGATTGAGGCCTGCAGCTGCAGTTGCCAACCATTTCAAACAGACAATTCATCTTGTAAACAGACAACATAAACTTAAGGCATTGATATATACAGCATGGCACTGTAAATGTACTTTTTCTTAAGATTTTCTTAGTAACATTTCCTTTTCTCTAGCTTACTTTATCATAAGAATATAATATGTATTATATATACAAAATATGCTTTAATCAACTATTTATGTTATGAATTGCATTCAACTTACATGTCAGCTTGGCAAGAATTGACATCGTTACTATGTTCTCAACCAATCCACGAACATGGCATGTCTCTCCATATATTTAGTTAAACGTTCAACTACTTATGTTATCAGTAAAACTTCTGGTCTATTAGTAGTTAAGTTTTGTGAGAGTCAATAGCTGTACTCATATTTTCTTTTGTTTTCCCTCAAGGAGTACATGTGCAAGTCTGTTACATCGATAAATTATGTGTGCTGAGGTTTGGTGTACAAATGATCCTGTCACCCGAGTAGTGAGCACAGTACCCTGTAAGTAGGTTTTCAGTCCTTGTCTCTCTCCCATCCTCCTCCCCTAGGAGTCCCCAGTGCCCAGTGTCTATCATTCCCATCTTTATGCCCATGCATACACCATGTTTAGCTCCCACTTATAAAGGAGAATATGCAGTATTTTCTTTTCTGTTCCTGTATTAATTTGCTTAGGATAATGGCCTCCAGCTGCATCCATGTTGCTAAAAAAGACAATTGTAAGTGGTATGTATCTTTAATTTTGGTGTCCTCACATTCATTACTATAATATAGAAATAAAATTGATTTTTGGATGTGTATCTTGGGTTTCTTCTTTGGGTTCCGTGACCTTGCTGGACTCATTCGTTAGTTCTAAGAGTTTTTATGTATATTTCTTGGAATTTTCTACATAGACAATCACGTCATCTGCAAATAAGGATCTCTTCCTTTCTGATCGAAATGTCCTTTCTTTTTCTTATCTTATTGCACTGGCTAAAACCTCAAGCACTCTGTTGAATAAAAGTGGTAAGGATAGACATAGTTGCCTTGTTCCCAACATTAGGGGAAAAGCATTCAGTCTTTCACCATTAATAATAATGCTAGCTGTAGGGTTTCTGTAAATGTCCTTTATTAAGTTGAAGAAGTTCACTTCTATTCCTAGTTTCTTGAGAGTTTTTTATCATAAATGGGTGTTAAATTTTGTCACATGCTTCTTTTGTATAGATTGATAGAATCACGAGCTTTTTCCTCTTTAGCTTTCTAAACAACTCCTTTGTTTCCTTTAACTAATATGTGTATAAAATTTCATTTTCCATCCTTCACCTCCTATCTGCTTATCATTATATTTGAAGTCGGTTCTTTATAGAAGTAATACTGTTGCTTTAGTTTTTACATTATATGTACATAATTTATGACAATCTACTAGTGTCATCATTTTACCAGTTTGAGTGAAGTACAGAAATCTTACCTCCCTTCATGTCCTTTTATCCTGTCCTTTTTATAAAAAGCTGTCTTAAATATGTCCTTTATATATATTTAGAGCCACATCAGACAGTGCTGTAGTTTTTGCTTCAACTGTCAAACATATGTAGAAAACTCAAGAGGAGAAGGAAAGGTTATTGTATTTAACAATACTTTCACTTACTATAGTCTTTGCTCCTTTTTCATGTTCCAAGGTTCTGTCTTCTATCACTTCCTTTCTGTTTAGAGAATTTCATTCAGCCATTCTCTTACAGCAGGTCTGCTGGCAGTATATTCTATTAGTTTTCCTCCATTTGAGAATGTCTTGATTCCTCCTTCATTCCTGAATAATATTTTTGCTGGATATAGTGTTCTGAGTTGTCAATTCTTTTCTTTTAGCACTTAAAAAATGTGTCATTTCCTTCTGGCTTCCAATGTTTCTGATGAAAAATCTAATTTTTCCCCCAGTAGGTAAGATGTCACTTTTTAATGAAAATTTTTAAGATTTTTTCTTTAATATTCATAAGTTTAATTATGGTTTGTTTGACATCAATTTCTTTGGGTTTCTTCTGTGTGAAGTTCACTCAGCTTCTTGAATCTGTAGGTTTAAGTCTTTTGCCAAATTCGTGAATTTTTCAGTCATTATTTCTTTGAGTGTTTTTCTATCCAACCTCTTTATTTTCCTCCTTACAGGACTCTAATGACATAAATGTTAGATCTTTAATTGTAGTCCCACAGATCTCTAAGTCTTCCTATTTAATTTCAGTCTATTTCCTATTTTTCAGATTGGGTAACTTCTATTGTTCTATCTTCCAGTTCACCAATTCTTTCCTGTGCCTTCTTCATTCCACTGATGAGCCAATCCACTGAGCTTTTCTTTGGTTATTGTATTTTTTAGTCCTTAGACTTACATTTGGTTCTTTTTTGTACCTTATATTTCTTTGATAAGACTTTGTATTTATTTACTGAGGCTTTCTATTTTCTCATTTGTTTCAAGTGTGTTTGCATTGCTTATTGAATCATTTTTTTCATGGCTCCTTTAAAATCTTTGTCAGATAATTTTAGCATCTTTGTTACCTTGGTGTTGGCATCTATTGATGGTCTTTTCTCATTCTTTTTGAGATCTTTCTTGTCCTCCATATAAGTGATTTTCAGTTGAAACCCAGAATTTTTCTGGTCATATGTTATGAAACTTTGAAACTTATTTGAACCTTATGTATTAGTTGGCTTTTCTAATACTTCTTTGGCAGGGAAGAGAAGAGGAACCACCCCATGACTACCAGTTGGAGGTAGAAGTCTAGTTTTGCAACATGGCCTCCAATGCCACCTAGGGGTGGGGGGAGTGTTTGGCAGGGGGGGTTGTTCTGGTTCCCTACCTGGTGTTCAATGATACCAGAGTGGTGATGTCCTCCTTAACCTGGCAATAAAGTCCTGACTCTCCACTAAGTAACACCCCAGGAACAATGGTGAAAGTCCTGACTTTTCTCTGACAAGGAGAGAGAATGGGGCACCTTGCTACTGTCAGGTGGAGATTCAAGTCCAGCTATCCACATGGTCTCTACTGACATTGTGGTGGAAAGTGAAGGAAGTCTCAATGCCAGTGACAGGAACAAAAGTCCCAGCTCCCTACTTGGCCTCTCTGACATCACCCTAGTGAGAGTGCTGGGGAACCCCATTATAGCTTGTGAAGGTAGAAGTCTAGCCTCCCCACTCAGCCTTTGCTGATATGGGTGGGAGTGATGCTACAGTTTTTTCTGTAGTGTTTGGCTGGAGTAAAGTGGTTATTATCCAAAAGTTTCTGTCTTTCTTTGTTTTTTTTTGTTTGTTTGTTTTTGTTTTTGAGATGGAGTCTCCCTCTGTCGCCCAGGCTGGAGTGCAGTGGCACGATCTCAGCTCAGTGCAAGCTCCGCCTCCCGGGTTCACATCATTCTCCTGCCTCAGCCTCCCAAGTAGCTGAGACTACAGGCACCCACCACAATGCCCAGCTAATTTTTTATATTTTTAGTAGAGACGGGGTTTCACCATATTTGCCAGGATGGTCTCGATCTCCTGACTTCGTGATCCACCCGCCTCAGCCTCCCAAAGTGCTGGGATTACAGGTGTGAGCCACCGCGCCCGGCCAAGTATCTGTCTTTCTATGCTGCCCTTTTTCCAGGGCTTTGACTAGAGAGACCAGGCTTTTGTTGGGGACTTGTCTTGTCTGTGCCCATTGGCATTGCTGGGTTGTGGGTTTCTTCTACTCCAAATATGGGATATGAGTGGAAAAAAACACAGGGAACTCATTAGCATGTTATTCCTCATGTCCTGAGTCCCCAGCTAATCTGCCTTGTTCTCTTCTTCTTTCATGGCCTCCCTACATTTGTTTTATGCAATATATACAGTTTTTTATTGTAATTAGAGGATCTAATAGAGGACGCTATTCCTACTCCATCTTCTTGGAAACAAGAGTCTGTCTTAGATATTTTACACTTACTCATTTAATTCTCACAATAACCTTTTAAAGTAGTATTATTAAGGTCTCAATTTTACATTTGAGGAAACTGAGTTACAGAGAAGTTAAGTAGCTTGTCTATGGTGACATGCTAACAGCAGCAAAGCCAGGTTTCAAACCCAAGAAGTCAGCCTCCAGAGTCAGTGCTTTCAAACAGTATACTAGAACTGTTTTCAAGTAATAAATGTTCACAACGAAGCTCCTCATTTGTCTTGGTTGGTCTCTCCCTGCAGGGCTGGACTCCCGATTATTGTACAATAGTTGAGAGTGCCCTCTGTGGAACATAGTCCTCAGGTTACACGCCCCATCTTTTCCCCACTTCTTACCCACAAGTATATACCTAGTTTTAAAGGTGCAGGGTTATAAGCATAAAAATGATCAGTCATGATCAATCACATCCCTTATTTTTGAAAATCCATCATGAGTGCGCATAATAACCTCAAAATGAGAGCCATGAATGTAATCATCGTCCCTGTGTTTATTAATCACATCCTTTTGAATTCAACACTTTTTATTTTCTGCCAACTTCTTGCTGCATTATCTACAAGGTAATCATTCTTTCAAGGGATCTTCTTTAAGTCTCTTCCATTCTCTCAGCCTTTAGCCCAAGTCACCTCCATCACTTTCAATAAGACTTCACCAATTCTGTAATGTTCTACTACATCAAAAGCCACAGAAGCATTGAGATGGAAAGAGCCTTTAGGGACCATTTTGCTGGTGATAAGAGAACTAAGTGACTTGGACAATGTTACACTGCTTCTTCGTGACAAACCTGAGACTAGAAAACTACTACATATGACATCCTACACACTGACTCCCTTCTTCAGCTCTGTCTGATAAAGGGATGAGAGATCGTTTCTTATTATTACACATACACGCCACTTCCGTTCCTTCCATCTAAACCTAGTTCAGAAACACCGCTAAGAATTCCCACCCCCAAAAAAATGGGGATGGGGGAAGAGAAGGAAGTGAACAGTGGTGTCATCCCACCAACAAGCCTGACTGCACAAACTATCTGCCTGTTCCATAACAAAGAGATTATATCAAACCTACCTCCCCAGGAATCAGTCTGATTCAACCTCGGAACTCCTCCTTCTCCTTTCCATTTGGCCCAAACTAGGGTTTTTCTCTCAGGTCTTTTGGGCTTTCTGAACAAGTGCCAGCACCCTGTGGCTTGCTGCTGCCAGCCCAACTATAGTAATTTTCCAGAAGTCTCTGGTTATGCCACACTGCTCAAGGAAGAGGAATATCATTAAAGTGACTTCACAGCCCCATAAACATGCCACTTGCAGCCCTCTTATTCTGTCTGGTGGCCTACACCACACACTACAATCAACAAGGGACATCTAGATTTCAGGGCCAAATCCCTGCAAAGACTCTGTCTGAACATACTTTTGTGAAAGCCTGCAGAATATAGATTTCTGTGTGTCATAAGGAAATAATCGGTCCTTAAATCTCAAAGTACAACTAGCTGCAGTATTTAAAAAGCCCATGGACAATGACAAATATAGACATCACAAAATTATTCTAAACTGATCAATGCTGAGAAAAGTCATGATGTGTCAGGAGTCTCAGCTCCAAAGGCAGTCTGCCCTTTAACATAATGAACTTCAGTAAAAGTAGAAACCATTTCTGAGGGTGTAATTGACAAGTGGCAATGAGGTCATCAGTAGAGTTTATGACATTTAAATCCCTGTGATATGGTTTGGCTGTGTCCCCACCCAAATCTCATCTTGAATTGTAGCTCCCATAATTCCCATGTGTTGTGGGAGGGACCCAGTGGGAGGTGATTGAATCATGGAGGCGGGTCTTTCCTGTGCTGTTCTTGTGATAGTGAATAAGTCTCACGAGATCTGATGGTTTTATAAAGCGGAGTTCCCCTACACAAGCTCTCTCTTGCCTGCTGTCACTTAAGACGTGACTTTGCTCCTCCTTTGTCTTCTGCCATGATTATGAGGCTTCCCCAGCCATGTGGAACTGTGAGTCAATTAAACCTCTTTCCTTTATAAATTACCCAGCCTCAGGTATGTCTTTATTAGCAGTGTGAAAACAGACTAACACGCCCTGGATCTACTTTTCCCGGTTTTATTTTTTTGTAACCCACAAGCTGTCCTGCCTCGTGTAATGGTCTTAGGCAAAGGAAGACCTCTCTGGTTATCCTTAATTCTATAGATACCTACTTCACACACACACATTCAAACACACACATACACACACACACACACGACAGAGGGACTTCTAAGTAAATATCATATACATTATGAGGAATCAAGATCTTGCCCTTTTCTAAAGCAAATAACTGTCAGGCTTGGGCAAATGCAGGGGCCATATTTTCTAATGAAAAAATAAAAATATATGACACTGGACAAATTATTGAAAATGGAGGTATACATTATAACTTCCCTTACTTTAGCTTGCTGACAGGTAACCTTGGGCTCTGCCACAAAGTAATTTTCCCATCTGGACTAACTGGGGATCAGACAGAAGATTCTTTTTCTTTCAAGGTGTCCTAGAAAATTGGGGACACCTTGTAGCAAATCAATTAACATTTTATTTGATGTAGAACCTTACGACAAATAGTGAGAATTTCCACAACACAAAAATTGTGAAGTTTTTGGCAATGCATAAGAAATGAACATTGGCAGATATGTTTCACGTGGCCAAGAACTTGATGTTTCATCAGCCATGAGGCTGGTAGTGTCTCTATTTTACACACGTGAAACATGGGCTAAGTGAGGTAAAGCAAGTTGCCTGAGATCACGTGGCTTGTGATGAGAAGATTCAGGATTCGACTCCAGCTCTGTGCTACTCCAGAGCTTCCGTTCTTTCTCACATATCTAGTTCAGGCTCCTTCATCTCCGAGTGGGTATGGAGACCAAGTATGCCTGTTATTGTTCCTCAGAGAAGGATTTCTGGAGGACATGAGTAGTCTGAAGAGTTCAGCAAGTCCTCCAAGTTCCACCCAAATCTGATAAATGTGCTGAAGTACGGGGCGCTGTTACTATACAACATGGTGAGTAAAGGGAACCTTCTCTCTGATCCCCAGACACCCCAGATGGAAAAAGGTGCTTTGCTGCAGAGCCCACGGTTATCTGTCTGGAAGCAAAAGTAAGGGAGGCCACAAGGTCTACTTCCATTTTCAAACTGAGGGCGCCTAACAATTGCAATCCTGTAAAGAAATAAATTCATTTCTGGAAAGTTGGAAATTGTCTTCATCGTGCCCTGCCCAAAGCCTCTGGTCAAGAAATTGAGGACTTGCAGAATAGGACTCCTCCTCAAACTCAAGCTTTTGTGTTCCATGTTCAATGAGAGATTCTGGCCACAGAAATGTTCCCTACCTGCTCCAGCAGGAACTAAGCCTTCCTGGAACATGATTATCACAAGGATCCCTCCCAGTGACCACATTTTCTGACATCAGCCTAAACCAAAACGACTCGCCTGCTCAGTGATTATATAAATCCATTCAGTCTCTGCAAATGCCCAGGCTTTTGTTACCACTACTGCTGTTTTGGCTGTACAAGGCTTAAAATGCAAAGTAAGTCACGATACTAACCTTTGCCTCCAGTAAGGAATGCTCTTCTTGGAGCAGCCCCCATACCTGGGACAATGCAAGTCAGCCTTTCAATGAGATGCTTAGCACACAAGCCTTCTGTGATCCAGCTCCTGCCTCTCCATCATGCCTCAGTGTCCAACACTCTCTCTTCTTCAGTCAATTCAAACTATTTGTAGGTCCCTAAGCACAGTTTCCCCTCTTTCTGCCCTGCAGACCTGCTTTATCTAGCAAATGCCCACTCATTATTCAAATTTAGTGCAATTATCCAGTCATCTGGGAAACTCCCCTTGATCCACAACCTTGATTTAGTGGTCTCCCCTTTGTGCTCCCTGAATAGCATGTCCATGCTTCTCCGATAGTGCTCACCACATTTTATAGTAACAGCTGATGTATCTACTTGTGTGCCCCAACCAAAAATCAGGTTCTACATATCTTGAGGAAGTTTTCTCATTCAATTTTGTATGAGAATTTACGGAACTTCCAATTCTATAACATAGTTGTTAAATAAATGCTTAACGAAAAGGTACACTTGGTTCACTCACCAAACAAATATTTACAAAGGAACTACAAGGTATATTTAGAAAGCACATGAGTTCCTGAGCACTGATCCTAAGTTGAAGAAACCCTCCTCACCTCAATCTCTTGGGCACATGAGAGGTCTCCTCACAGACTCTCAAACAATTGGTGCTTGAAGAGAGGTGGGAAGTGGTACGAGGGAAGATGGAGGGAGAGCATGACTGCCTGCTGCTACCTGAGTGAGAAGAGGAAAGATGGAGATGAGGGCAAGCAGAAGCATGTGGTCCACAGCATCACCTAGTGCCTAGTGCGGAAGAGGAAAGTCTTGGTTCCATCACTCATTCTAGCTTAGAGTGAATCTTCTGTTGCAAACTTTCTTATTGCTCTAAGACAGAGATCATCAGAATTGAGGCAAAGGCTAAAGCAGTACTACACTTTCTATGTCAGTATTTTTATATACTGGTTAGTGGTATACATGCATGCAAATCTCCCTTTAAATTCAAATGTCATGTTAGAAAGTAGGGTTTATATGTACAGGTGTTTGTAAATGAGAAGTTTGTAATTTAGGGAGTACATATTTAATAGTGCCTCACCCAGAACTGCTATAGGCAAGATGATCAGGAGGAAAAACAGCAGCAGCTGATGCCAAAATGTGTGATTCAGATGATTTGGAAATTAAGAGACATTCCAAAGAACGTGTGCATATTTCCTTCAGACATAGTCTACTAGCTAACAGATTGAATTTTTAAAATATATGAATAACTTTTCTGACAAAAGCTTACCAAAATACAGCAATGACTTAGAAATTTAGCATGGTTATATGTGATCCGTTTATCTCTCCCATCATCCCACTATCTCAGAGTACAAAATAAAAATCATTCGTTTCATTTTTCTTTATGCTAAGTAGAAAGGAAATTGTGTCCTGTTCTCATTTCAAGTTAGGTTGCTTCTTGATTAAATAAGAGAATGAACTCGCCTAGAATAATAAATGATCCTCTCAACTGCACGTTAACTGAACACTCTAGCATAAATTAACAAAGCAGAGAGATCAGGTGGAAGTATAGCTAAAAGACTAAAATTAGTTTGGCATGGGTTTGGATATTAGTTTTGTCACTCTGTAGCTATGTAAGTTTGGACAAATTACCATAAACTCTCCAAATCTCAATTTTCTCAACTGTCAACAGAGTTGACAGCAAATATCTCATGAAATGGCGAGACAGATTTCAAACTTGTCATTTACAAACACCTGTAAATACGAACTCTACTTTTTAATATGGCATTACAACTTACAAGATTTGTATGTATGTATGCAATTAACCATGATACAATGGCAGCATAAAATGGCACCGGTAAAGTGTCAGGCACACAGCCTATTGCAGAGTGAACACTCACATTTTGTTTCCACGTGCCCCACCTCTTTTCTTGATTTAAAGGATTTCTACTGGGCAAATGATAAGAGAAACAAGACACTTTTCTGTCCTTAAGGAACTTAGACTGGTAAAGAGGATAAAATAAACACAGACAAAGCCAGGCAGGATATACATTTTGAGAGCAGAATGAATCCAGGTGATATAAGAACACAAAGGAGGAAGACCATGTGCCAAGTTCCCTGAGGACATCAGGATCAACTTCATGAAGAGACCATTTTAAATGGGTCTCAGAGAATTGGTAGGGACCTTGTCAATGTGTGGTTTTTATTTCCTAAGTAAGACTCACAGTTACAATACACATGTAAACACAGGAGAAGACAGAAGTTAAGGCAGATGATACTCTGGTTTAAAAATCCTTAGAGGAATTTTCACTGGTCACCAACTTTTAGAGCTACATTGAGGATGACAACTAGGGTGGAAAACAGTATATTGTCCAGATATACTATTAATATAAAATGGGGCAATGTTGCCTACTGAAGGGAAGGTAGGGGCAAGCCTTATCTTTCCCTTTCTGGCTCAGAGAATTCCCAGCTTTTTTTTTTTTTTTTTGCTTTTTTGAGATGGAGTTTTGCTCTTGTTGCCCAGGCTGGAGTGCAGTGGCATGATCTCGGCTCACTGAAACCTCTGTGTCCCAGGTTCAAGTGATTCTCCTGCCTCAGCCTCCCGAGTAGCTGAGACTACAGGTGCCTGCCACCACGCCCGGCTTTTTGTATTTTTTGTAGAGACAGGGTTTTGCCATGTTGGGCAGGCTGGTCTCGAACTCCTGACCTCAGGTGATCCACCCGCCTCAGCCTCAAAGTGCTGGGATTACAGGCGTGAGCCACCATGCCCAGCCAGAATTCCCAACATTTTAACCAAAGCACTAGGAGCTTTCCATCTGTAGTACAATCACCGAACAAGCCAGAAACTGTGTCATGGCCTCTTTAATCCATACTATTCCTTCTACAGAGACTAATTCCCTTAAAAACTAAGAGACAGATGCAGCCTTAGCCTCGGCCTACACAGGGTCCAGATCATCCATATCACTGTTTCCACCTCCATGTCTTGTCCTACTGGAAGGTCTTCAGAGGCGGTAATATGCATGGAGCTGTCGTCTCCTGTGACAACAATACCTTCTTCTGGAATACCTCCTGAAGGACCTTCCTGACGCTGTTTTATAACTAACTTATTACATACTTCTACTTACATAAGTAAAAATACACTCTAAATAATGATAAAAACTATAGTATAGTAAATACATAAACCAGTAACATAGTCATTATCATTATTAAGTATTATGTACTGTATGTAATTGTATGTGCTACACTTTTATTCAACTAGCAGCTTAGTGCAAAATAAAAAGAGAGGACTCAAAGGGGATCATTTAGGAAATAAACTACTCCCGGGAAAGGGACACAATCTCAACAAGCAATAGGGCGGCTTGTGTAGTGTAGTGGGCTTTGGAGAAGATCCCTGGTAGCAGTGGAGATTGGGAGTTGTGGTTTTCACGTACTTAGTCATTTAGTCAACCAGAGAGACAAATAGTTGGGATAAAAGAGGATCTCATAAATCCAACAGAAGAGTACAGAACACAGAGCTTAGGCTGTTCACAGCACCACCTCCTAGGAAAACACTGTGAGCACTCAGGTTAACAGTAGGTAGATCTGTGCACAAGCCATTTACTCTACTATGGCCAAGCAGCCTAATCTGTCGTGAACATTCCTCTTCCCCCCAAAAATAAAGAGGAAATAAAGAGAAGGGAGAAAGGGAGGGAAGAAGGAAACCATGAGTCTTAAAAAGATAGCACAGAAACAATTATTCTGAAAATGTAGAGGAAAAGTATAGCTCTTTAAAATTATTTACGACACAAATCAGAAGAGTTCAAATAAATTACAATGCATTCATATATTTTGCAGATGTTCACTCATGTTCTCAAATACCATTAAACGCATCAGAAAATTTGTAGAATGTAATATGAAGTGAAAAGAGCTGGGTGCAAAAGCTGTATATATCAACTTTACAAAACTTTGCACATGCGGTACATATAAAGTCATCAATTGCTTAACAACATTTCAGTCAACGGTGGACTGCAGATATGACAATGGTTTCATGAGATTATAATGGAGCTGAAAATTTCCTATCGCCTAGCAACACTGTAGCAGTCATAAAGTTGTAGCACAATGCATTACTCATTGTTGTAAACAAACACACTAAGCTGCTAGTTGAAAAAGTGTAGCACATACAATTACATACAGTACATAATACTTACTAATGATAATGACTATGTTACTGGTTTATGTATTTACTATACTATACTTTTTATCATTATTTAGAGTGTATTTTTACTTACGTAAGTAGAAGTATATAATAAGTTAATTATAAAACAGCTTCGGGAAGTTCCTTCAGGAGGTATTCCAGAAGGCATTGTTGTCATAGGAGATGACAGCTCCATGCCTATTACTGCCTCTGAAGACCTTTGTGGAGGTGGAAACAGTGATATGGATGATCCTGACCCTGTGTACGCTGAGGCTAAGGCTGCATTTGTGTCTTAGTTTTTAATAAAAAAAGTTTTTAAAGTAAAAAAAATTAAAGCACAAAAAGGCTTATAGAATAAGAATATAAAAAAGAAAATATTTTTGTAAAGAAGAGTCAAAAAGTTAAGAAATTTAAAAATGCTCATCATCACTGGTCATTAGAGAAATGCACATCAAAACCACAATGAGACACCGTCTCACACCAGTTAGAATGGCCATCATTAAAAAGTCTGGTAACAACAGATGCTGGCAAGGCTGTGGAGAAATAGGAACACGTTTACAGTGTTGGTGGGAGTGTAAATTAGTTCAACCATTGTGGAAGACAGTGTGGCGATTCCTCAAGGATCTAGAACCAGAAATACCATTTGACCCAGCAATCCCATTGCTGGATATATACCTAAAGGATATAAATCATTCTACTATAAAGACACATGCACTTGTATGTTTATTGCAGCACTATTTACCATAGCAAACACTTGGAAGCAACCCAAATCCCCATCGGTGATAGACTGGATAAAGAAAATGTGGCACATACACACCATGGAATACTATGCAGACATAAAAAAGAATGAGTTCATGTCCTTTGCTGGGACACGGATGAAGCTGGAAGCCATCATTCTCAGCAAACTACCACAGGAACAGAAAACCAAACACCACATGTTCTCACTCATAAGTAGGAGTTGAACAATGAGAACACATGGACACAGGGAGGGGAACATCACACACTGGGACCTGTCGGGGGTGGGGGGCAAGAACAAATACCTAATGCATGGGGGCTTAAAACCTAGACGATGGGTTGACAGGTGCAGCAAACCACCATGGCACATGTATACTTATGTAACAAACCTGCACATTCTGCACATGTATCCCAGAACTTAAAGTAAAATAAAACATACAATAAAATAATTTTAAAAAATGTAAAAGTCAAAAGCTACAGTAAGCTAAGGTTAATTTATTATTGAAGAAAAGGAAATTTTAAAAATAAATTTAGTATCGCCTAAGTGCAGGGTTTATAAAGTCTACCCTAGGGTACAGTAATGTCCTAGACCTTCACATTCACTCACTACTCACTCACTGACTCACCCAGAGCAACTCCCAGGCCTGCAAGCTCCATTCATGGCAAGTGCCCTATATGGGTGTACCATTTTTTTCCTCTTCTATACCATATTTTTACTGTACCTTTTCTATGTTTGGATACACAAATACTTACCATGGTGTTACAACTGCCTATAGTATTCAAGAGAGCAATACGCTTCCAGGTTTGTAGCCTAGGAGCAGGCTATACCATAAAGTCCAGGTGTGTAGGAGGCTACACCATCTAGGTTTGTGTAAGTACACGCTATGGTGTTAGTCAACTAAAGAAACAAATAGTGGTGAGAGAAGAGAAATCACCTATAGGTGCACTTCTCAGAACATACTCTGGTTTTCAGCAATGTATGACTATAAATCAGCAAAAATAAACGGAGGTGAAATAATAGTTCCTCTAACTGAGTGATGTGATTATGTAAGAATTTTAGTTCCTTCCTACTATTTTTCTATTTTCTTCCAACCTTTCTGTGAAGTTACTTTCATAATTTAAAACTTGTAATGTTTTATTAAAAATAGATATGTTTGCGGCCGGGTGCGGTGGCTCACGCCTGTAATCCCAGCACTTTGGGAGGCCAAGGCGGGCGGATCACAAGGTCAGGAGTTCAAGACCAGCCTGACGAACATGATGAAACCCCGTCTCTACTAAAAAAAAAAATACAAAAATTAGCCAGGCATGGTGGTGCATGCCTGAAATCCCAGCTACTTGGGAGGATGAGGCAGGAGAATCATTTGAACCTGAGAGGTGGAGGTTGCAGTGAGCCGAGATCGGGCCTCTGCACTCCAGCCTGGGTGACAGAGCAAGACTCTGTCTCAAAAAAAGAAGAAAAAAAAAAGATATGTTTACAAATATACAGACATTAATAATGGAGTCTGAGGATAAGAGCCTTCAAAGCAAAGGTGAAATGTCCCAAAAGACAAGTCGGTAAGAAAACACAGGCCACGTCCTAAAGGCGTTGGAGAACTGGGATGTGTGAGAGCAAAGAAAGGGCCTTGAATGCCATGTTTAGGGGCAGAGATTTTCTTCTGTCTGTAGCACATATTTTGAATTAGAAAGGGCTGTTGTTGGAGCTGTCTTTCTAGAGATTCCGGAGTCGGCAAATGGCATCTAAAATTAAATGGATTAGAGGTGAGTGGCTATTGTGATAGTCCAAGTGTCAAGCAGTGTCAGCCTGACTATGTGGTCTCAGTGACAAAAGAGAGGACATGGTAGATGTGAGTGTTGAGTACAAGACTCAGCCAATGGTTGGGTATAAACCGCCTGGGAGAAGACAGGACTGAAGAAGGCTTTGAAGGCTAGATTCTGGGTGATGAATCAGAGATCAATATTAGTCACAAAAGTTGGAGGAAGAATATGTGCAGCTTATTTCGAACATGTTGAGCTTAAAGTGTCCATGGAGTATCTTGAGAAGATTCTGAGAAGTTGCAACTTAAGAGAGAAGCCTGGGCTGGTGGTGTGGATTTGGGAATTATCTGTATAGACAGGAGAGGTGGTCAGATAATAAAGGAGGAGACCAGGAAAGGAAGAGCAGGAGAGGGAGGAGGAGGAAGAAGGGGAAGAAGGGATGCACATAAGACAGAAAGAGAAGATAGGAGAAGATACCAGAGGACCACACTACAGAAAAGAAGTAGCCGCTGACACAGCCAGAAGCAGCAAACAGAAAGAGGAGTGCATATTTCAACACTGCAGAGTAGGAAACAAACACCAACAAGAGAGTCACCCTTGATGTGAAATGTTATGCAAAGTTCAAAGAGGCTGCACACTGACAAGTCGCTACTGGAAATAGTGATTAGGCGCTCAAGTGACATAAAAAAATTTTAAGTAAAAAATAAGAAATAAAATCAACATGTCCAATGTCATTGCAATAGACACTTTCCTGTGGGAACTACCATTTTAAAAACACATCTGGAGTCCAATATCCTAAGTGTCAAGTCATTCCTCCTTTGTCCACATGGACGGAAGACGTTCATCTCTTGAGTGCTAATGGTTTGAGGCCACCACCACAGCAACCAACAGAGCAACTGTTGTACTTTAACTCTGCCCAGCACTAACTACATTCTAGTCTGTGGCCTGCATGGAAATGAAGTTGTTCTTTCAGACACTGCTGTGTGGGACTCAGTCTGGCTGCAGGTGCCTGCAAGCACTGTCTGATTTGAGATATTTTCTATAATTACTGGAATGATGAAATCTGTCATGCAGTAAGGTAGCAGGCAGGAGACACAAATTCATTCCTAGCTTCCTGAATTAAAAATAAATGGTTATCAAGTCCAATTGAATTTGTTTTAATTAGCTGGGTTTTTTTTTTTTAAGTCACAATTTTCGCAGCTCCTTTATCAAACTGACTCTTCCTTAATACTAAAGAGGAAACTTTTCACACCTAAAATATTCCTGTAAAGACAAACTTGCTGGGTCTTGTTCATGTCCCTGTTGGCCCCTAAGTATATTTTACTTATTTGTCTCATCCATTGCCTCATGTCTTTCCAATGTGAACTCCATAAAGAAAGTGATTTTTGTGCATGTAATGAACTGCTGTATCCCCAGAACTTAAATCAGGGTCTGGCCCATAGAATGAGCTCAATGGATGCTGGTGGAATGAATTTATGGAAGAATGGATGGAAAGAAAACATACATTATAAGAATAAATCCTCAGAAGGATAGCAGCACCATTACAGAATCAGGTGAAGGTGAGTAGACTGAATATGAAGAAGATATGATGAGTGTCCCACCTATGTGGGGAGAAGATGTGAATTGCTGTAATGAGATATAGGAATATAATTAATTGGCTTTCTTTATATCCAGATTGGATGCAGCTTTGATTCTTCAGCATTACTGTAAGGGGATGGGGCGGGGAAAATCCATAATAAGCTCTGTGATCCTACAAATTTCATTTCAGAAAGTTAGAAATTTATTAAGCAAATAAGACAGGCCATGTCACCAGCGGATCGGCATCAGGCAAAAACCCAACAGTGTAATTGGCCAATGCTCGGAAGAATGACATAACGAAGCTTGGGGTTGCCATGAGATCTACATGAAAACAATTTCTGTGCTGAACCATAGGTAGCTCTTGAGTTTATAAACCCTCAAGTCTCCCATTAATCCAGTCTTCAATAACTGGATGATTTAAGTAGTTACAGTATTTTTTAAAATCTTAATCCTGAGAGCTAAGTATTCAATCGTTTTCTAAAGAAACGCAGCAAAGAAAGTAAAATCAAACAACCTGCCTCAAAATGGCAGCATGTCCACACACTGGCTTCGGTCTGAAGGCACCAAATGACCTGGGCATCCTCTAGTATGTTGCAAAGTTTAATCACCACTAGATCGAAACTAAATACCAGAACACAGGTGTGCATCATTCAAATTGGCAAATCAATATATTAATACTTTTTTTAAAAGTCAGTGAGAAAACCACCAAAATCATTTATTAAAGGGAACTCAAGTGGCACAGGAAGATCTTCAAGCCAAGTCCCATTCATTTCCCATTAAATCTGCTACAAGAACCTTAAACTGCTCCCCTCAAAGAAAAAGTTAGTTGGACAGTGACCAGTGAGATACAAAAGAAGAATCACAACGCCCAACTACTAAAACCCAGGATGGTTTTTTAAAAAATGAATCCCTTGATTGAGGGTCACCAGAGAAGACAGATATTAACTAATCACAGAAAGAATTAATTAGAAGCTAGGAGGAGACCAGTATTCCAAGCCAAAGTAGTAATCTGTGTGAAGACTTTGCTGGAACTTGTATTATGTCTGAAAGATTGAAATAAAGTGCCTTAATCCAAACTGGGATTTTCCTGACTGACATCTACTAGTTCTTCAGGTCCCCAGCCTACACATAACCACTTCAGGAAGCCCTTCTCTACTTTATCTTTTCAACTAAATCACGCCTTCTGACACTACATTCCCTGACGACACCTTCTACCATTGCTTCATTGAACTAAAAGAATTATCTGTACCCTCGGGTATGATTATAGAGATGCTTAGTCTAAATGCAAACCAAGATACAACTTTAGAGAAAATTCTGGAGCCTACAGAGTAGACCAGAGAAGCATCTCACAATGAATCCTCCCCAAATAAGTCTTATTCTTTCTATATATGTCAAGCATTAAGTAAACACTTGAGCAGCACAAGTCACAGGCGATCCATGCTGGCCATTAATCGGCAGTGGCAATATCAGTAAAGTCAACGCTCTTCCAGCATCTCCTGGACTAAGATCAGTGTCCAGTGTTTTTATTTTATTTTTTTCCACAGTATTTTGACTATCTCAAGATAAGCTTCTAGAGAAAAAAAATACAAAAACAAATGTAACAAGGTCAATTGAGCTGCGCGTGCTATGTCTGGAAACACATGTGCCGTCACATAATTTAGCACCTAAAGAACAAGAGGCTGCAAAACTGCATCCCCAGGGAAGCCCAGAGCTGGCAAAGTAATCTCTGCAGACATGAGGAACTCTGCTCACCCACTTTAATTTTAACGCTACTATGTACAAGCTTAAATATAGAATCAATCACAAAGAAATAATACATATTTAAGCAGACACAGGGCTAACGAATCTGAGCCAGTACAATTCTGAAAACTTTCAAGTTTCCCTTTCTCACTCTGACATTTCTAGGCTTGCTAATAGTCCTCACAATGTCCAGGAAGATCCGTGTTTCCATTATTCCCTCCTGTTATCATACACTGACCATATCTTGTGTGCCTCCTAGATGATTCATACATTTTCTTAGCTCTAAAAATACTACAGTTTTAGTGCTAGAATAAATGTAGAGAACTTAGAAGTAAAAAAATGTTTTGAAGGTGAGATAGGAAAAAGCCAACTATCTTGAACAATTCAAAAGACTTTCTTAGCAAATCTCATTTCTGAGAGCTTTGTATAGAAATTTCATCATCAGCTTTGGCTGCTATGGCAACTAGATATTTCAGAAATGATTTGAAATGAGTATCACTACATATCCAGCATCTTTTGCAAGAAACAGAAAAGACTATGAAATCTAATCCACTGTAAATTTCAAAATATAGTGTTAATTTTCATTTTTGAAATCTATTTATGCTTCTATTTGCAAATCAATAGATAACAACCTGGTACGATTACATATGAGCACGATGGAGAAGTCTTTCATTTTAGTCCTTAACTGTCACATTAAAGCATCATTTAGGTACTCTCGTCCCAGTTTTATTAGGCCTTTAAAAAAAAAAAAAGGCTGGGCACAGTTGCTCATGTCTGTAATCCTTTGGGAGGTCATGGTGGGAAGACTGCTTGAGTCCAGGAGCCTAGGTAACACACAGATACCTCGTTTCTCCAAAAAAAAAAAAAAAAAAAAAAAGTAAAAATTAGCCAGGAGTGATGGTACACACTTGTAATACCAGCCACTCGGGAGGCTGGGGTGGGAAGATCGCCTGAACCCAGGTTTTCAAAGTTGCAGTGAGCCGTGATCACGCCACTGCACTCCAACCTGGGTGATAGAGCAAGACCATGTCTCAAAAAAAAAAAGACAATTTTTTGGGCAGTTTTAGGTTCACAGCAAAATTAAGTGGAAAGTACAGTTTCCATATAATCCTTGTCCCCTCCCCAACCTACCCCACTATCAACACCCTGCATCTAAGTGGTACATTTATTACAATCAACAAACCTACATCGCTACATCATAATCACCCGAAGTTCATAGTTTACGCTAGGGTTCACTCTTGGTGTTATATATTCTATGGGTTTGGACAAATTTATAATGACATATATCCACCATTAGGGTATCAAATATCAAAAATCAAATCCTGTGTTCCATCTATTTATCCCTCCCACTCTTCTTAAGCCTTAGCAACCACTAATCTTTTCACCATCTCCATAGTTTTGCCTTTTCCAGAATGTCAAATAGTTGGAATCACATAGTATGTAGACTTTTCAGATAGACTTCTTTCACTTAGCATGCATTTAAGGTTCTTCCACGTCTTTCCATAGCTTGACAGCTCATTTCATTTTAGCATTGAATAATATTCCATTGTCTGGAGGTACCACAGTTTATCTATTCACCCACTAAAAGACATTTTGGTTACTTCCAAGTTTTAGCAATTATGAACAAAGCTGCTATAAACACTTGTGCACAGGTTTTTGTGTGGACATGTTTCCAGCTCATGTGGGTTATACCAAGGATTGTAATGTCTTGACTGTACAGTAAGAGTATGTTTACTTTTGTAAGAAACTGCCAAGTTTTCTTCCAAAGTGGCTGTACCATTTTGCATTTCCACCAACAATGAATGAGAGTTACTGTTACTCTACATTCTTGCCAACATTCAGCGTTGTCAGTGTTTTGGAGTTTGGCCATTCTAATAGGTGTTAATGGTATTTCATTGTTAGTTTAATTTGTAATTCCCTAGTGAGATATATGTCAAGCACCTTTTCATATTCTTATTTGCCAGGCCTTTCCTTTTAGCCATATCTATGCCAAAGCCCAAGTCCCACTGAATCTTGCACAACAGAATAAAAACAAGGTCTTCAATGATGAGTTAGTTGTGATTTGATTTAATCAATGAACCAGCCATGGTTTTCACATTCTACCCTGCAGAGCTACTATTCCTGGGTCACTGAAATAGCTCATAGCAAATACATGCTAGAGCAAAGAAAGCTGTGTGGAAATGTAAAGTAATGCAATGACTGGATAATTTAATCAGCATTTACACCCATGCACCTTAACTACATATATGTAAAAGCATCAAACGAGTTCTCAAATTCCCTGCTTAGGTCATGACACTGAGGGGTTCAAATAGAATCATCAGTGTTTGCTTGAAAGTCCACAAAGTAAGGAGATTTATTCTTGATTGAAGTTTTCACAGCATGTTACCCTGAATATTTAGGGATGATGGTTAAGGGTTATGGAGGTCAAGATGAACTGGTAGAGAGAGCAGCATGTTAAGTTGTGTAAGTGTTTGCTGAAGGACAATGGGGAAATGGAGTGAGAGACATTCTGCAAGTGTGCCACAATTCAAAAGAACCAGCATCCTCATTAAAAATTGTGAATTTATTAAAATAATGGCAAAGTTATTTTGGAAGTAAACTGATCTAACTATAATTCTTTTTCCTCTTGAAACTTATCAATTTTAAGATACTTACAATAGTGTAATCTCTTAAAAGTTTTCTACCTCTGCACTTAAGTGTAGAAACAAGCTTATGCTGACCTTTTGAATAGAATCTAAAGCAATGTGCATTACCTTTATCAATTCTAAAAGGCATTTCCAACAGCTCAGTCTTCCAAAAATATACTTTAAATGTAGTAGTTAGTGCAAATGATATATCAGAAGTATCGAGTAAAGAAGAAAAATACTATGACATTCATAGATGTCAAATATGTTAGAAAATCATCAGCACTGTGGATCAGGAGTTCTGGGCCAGAGCTGTGGGCAGAATGGGACATTAAATGGGGCCCTTATTAGGAAGTTGACATCTGAGCAAAGACTTGAAGAAAGTGAGGAAGTAATATTCATGGTTTATCTGGGGGAAAGTATTCTGAGCAGAGACAGCAGCCAGCGTAGAGGCCCTGAGGTGAGAGCAGGCCTAGCACATTGCAGGAACAGCAGGAGGGTGAGTGGAACAAAGTGAAGGGGGAGGATCAGCTGCAGGCATCTTAAAACTTTGGCTTCGGCCGGCCGGGCGCGGTGGCTTACGCCTGTAATCCCAGCACTTTGGGAGGCCGAGGTGGGTGGATCATGAGGTCAGGAGATCGAGACCATCCTGGGTAACACAGTGAAACCCCGTTTCTACTAAAAATACAAAAAATTAGCCAGGCATGGTTGCAGGCGCCTGTAGTCCCAGCTACTTGGGAGGCTGAGGCAGGAGAATGGCCTGAACCCGGGAGGCGGAGCTTGCAGTGAGCCAAGATCACGCCACTGCACTCCAGCCTGGGCAACAGAGCGAGACTCTGTCTCAAAACAAACAAACAAACAAACAAAAAACTTTGGCTTCTACTCAGATAGGGAGCACCTTGGGAATTTTCAGTAAAACAAATTACTTTGAAAAATTTTTCTTATCATACAAAATTTTAAACATGAGCAAAGTAGAGAAAAATGATAGTATACTCTAGTGTACGTATGATTCAGTCTCAAAATTACTGATTCATGGTCATTACTGTTTCATTTACACTCTCTACCCTACCCTCACCCCAAATCATTTTGAAGAAATCTTCTGACGTCATGTCTTTTCAACCATAAGTATTTCAGTAGGGATCTCTAAAAGACAGGCATTCTTTTCTTTCTTTCTTTCTTTCTTTTTTAACACCACTGTAATACTATTATCACGTCCGGTAGCGGTTAAATCAGCTCATACCTGCTCAGCCAAAGAGAAACTGTGTATGCCACTCTTCCCACTCACGGACCCATGACTTCATGAACGTGGCTTGAAATTAACCATGAAGGGAGTGTATACACCATGAAAATCCACAAATACTAACAGCAGGGCTTTTATTTCTAGTAATAAAATTGTTAATTCTTTACTATCTGATATGGTTTGGATTTGCGTCCCTGCCCAAAGTTCATGTCAAATTGTAATCCCCAGTGTTGTAAAAGGAGCCTGGTGGGAGGTGATTGGTCCATGGGGGTGGATTTCCCCCTTGCTGTTCTTGTGATAATGAGTGAGTCCCCATGAAATCTGGTAGTTTAAAAATGTGCAGCACCTCCCACTGCTCTCTCTTCCTCCTTCTCCAGCCATGTAAGATGTGCCTGCTCCTCCTTCCCCTTCGGCCATGATTGTAAGTTTCCTGAGGCCTCCCTAGCCATACTTCCTGTATAGTCTGCAGAACTGTGAGTCAATTAAACCTCTTTTTCTAGGTGAATTACCCAGTCTCAAGTAGTTCTTTACAGCACTGCAAGAATGGACTAATGCACCATCACACCTCTGACTCACACGTAGAAGATTAACAATGCTTACTTAATACCATTAGATGTCTACTCTACACAATGGTCATATTTCTTTGGTAAACCTTTTTTTCAGTTTGTATGTCTGAATAGTGATCAAAATAAAATCTATACTCTGTGACTGTTTGATATCCCTTAAATCTCTTTGAATCCATAGGATCCCCAACATCTCTCTTTTTTCTGGCATTTGTTTTTATTGTTGTTAAGGGAACTGGGTTGTTTGCCCTGTGGAGTTCTTCACAGTCTGCAATTGCTAATTGTATGCCTATGGTTTCATTTAACATGTTCCTCTGTTTCCTATAAATTGGTCATTAGATTTAGTGGCTTGCTAAGATGCAGGATTTATTTTGGGGGGCAAGACTTCTTCATAGGTGCAGGTGGTGCACGTCCATCAGAAGGAACTGTCATGCTGGTTGTGTTTCATTTTTGTAGTAATAATAGCCTACTGATGATTCTTTCAAAATGATAATATTTTGCATTCTATCACTTATTCTTCATTTACTATTTTAAATACATCTATAAGAGAAATTTATATTAATCAATCATTTGGCTAATTTACACTTTATTTTATTAATTTTTTGAGAGATGAGATTTTGCTACGTTGCCCAGCCCGGGCTCAAACTTCTGAGCTTAAGTCATTCTCTATTCTCCCTGGCTCAGACTCCCGAGTAACTAGGACTACAAGCCTGTGCCTAATTTATATTTTAACAGGATCACTCTGATTGCTGTGGTAGAAAAGACTCTAGAGGCAAGTTCGCAAGTGTGAAAATAGAGAAATAATCTAGGAGGGTGTTATGGCTACCTGGGAGAGCCATGGTCACGGCTAAAACCAGAGTATAACTCTGGAAGTAGAGAGAAGCAAGTAGGGAAGTCCAAGGACTGAGTTGACGCACAGCCAACAGCAGTTGTGAGTGTACTGGAGTTATAGATTTTTCCACTTGCAAGTGGCTCAGTAGGTTCCTGATGGTTAATAGGTTTTATCATAGCTGAGATGGGAATTTGGGCTCTGGGTGCTACAGCTGGGTATAAAAGCAAATCACTCAGCAGGAGGGTGAGGTAGGGGCCGGGAGCGGGTGTTGTGAAGAGAACTGATCATACAGGTTTCTTGTCTTAACAAAGCTCTGAGTTATATACTTAATGCTAAATAGGCAGTTAGTTTAAAATTCCAGTTATGTACTTTTGAAAGACAGCAGTGGACATTAATGATAGTTACTGCGCTGGCTTAAAAATAAAGAAAAAGTAAAGAAGTCTAAGAAAAAATATATTTGCACATATGTGATGTTTGAGGAAGTCATGAGATTATCATGTTAAAGACCTACTTAACACATTTTCATCAGCACTCTATTATTGCCTATATTTAGGTTGTTCATGATTAAATCACAATTACTAATTGTAGTAATTATAATCTGTTGTAACCCTCTCTTGAGCTGTCAAAAAAAGCTGTTGTATTATTTAACAACCTAATTTGACAAGAAACTTCAGCTACTATATTATTTCAAGGTTTTAAAATTTTCAGACCATCTGTTTTTAAATGGTACATGCTTCATTTCTTTGAAGACATCTCATATTTTCTCAGGTAGATTCTTTTACGAGTTTTTAACTGCTTTCACTGGCTAATTTCCGTTCCCAAGTTTTTATGAAATAATTTACAAATGTATTTTCTTTTCCAGTGCTTCTAACGCCACTGATTAGTTTTCTCTAACTTTTGAATAGAAAACAAGTCGATGGAGAAACACATTCAGAAAAACACAAATTCTGAACTCCACATCATATTGAATCTCCAGTTTCTAGATGGAGTTTAATGTCGTCGGTCACCCATGCCCTCGTGGGTTCAGGCATCAGCGACGCCACTGTTGCTAATAAGCATGTCAGCTTCTTAGGGAAGGGATGCAGAGAATCGGAGGACACGTTTCCCCTGAGACACTTATAAAAAGAAGAGCATAATCTTACAGCTGGGTGGGCCATGAAGGTTTTCCAACAAACTACTCTTCCCATCTTTTTTTTTTTTTTTTCTGCAAAGGTTTTCTTATGCAAGGGGGAAGGGGCTCAGTCCCTGGCAGCTGCTTTCCTCAGGGCGGGGCCGGGACATTGCACAGGCTCTCTCACTTTCTCTTGGGGGGGAAGTGTGCCCCCCACCCTTTTCCTGATGAACTTGAGGGCCTGTTTGTCCTGGGAGAGCTTGAGCAACTCCACAGCACACCGCTCTATGGGACAAAGCCACACACCTCTCGGGGCATGTCTTGCGCGATTTTGGTGTTTGCTGAGGCGCCCGCTTGGCTGTGCCTTGGTTTCCTCACGTTCTTGGTCACCTTGTGGCCTTTGTTGAGGCCCACGGCCATGGGGTAGTGCAGGACCATGGCTGTTGCTCTCCGAGGGCCGCCGCAGAGGACCCACCTTCTCTTTTGTAGAAGGAAAAAGGTGTAGAAAGGGGAAGTGACTTTCTCTAAAGTAGAGAGTAGCCAGTAGACATGAATTTGGAAAGGTTTATGGGGGCTGAAGCATGGAATTCACATCAGAATAACGAGAAGAGAGGTTAATGGTTAATATATTTTCCAAGAAACCATGAGTAGCTATATTCTTTCTCTCATCTCTTTTTCACACACACACACACACACACTCACACACGTCCACACACATTCACACACCCTCCCATGCACAAATACACACACAGGTCCACACAACACAAGCACACACTACTACACACCCTCACACACATAAGCACACATGTCCACACACATACACACACACCCTTACACACATACCCTCACATGTACATATATACCCATGTCCACACCCTTACACACATCCTCACATGTACATATACACACATGTCCACACACACGCACACACCCTTACACCCTTACACACACCCTCACATGCACACACGTCCATACACCCTTTACACACACCCCCACACAGGCACATATGCACACGTCCACTCACACACACACGCACACATTGTTACACAAACACCCTCACATGGCCATGTACACACGTCCACACACATGCACACACCCTTACACACATACACATATGTCCACACACGTACAAACCCTTACACACACACCTTCACAGGCATATATACGCACATGTCCACACACATGCACGTACCCTTTCACACACAAATACATGTCCACCCAACACATGCACACACTCTTACACACACATACACCCTTATACACATACCCTCACACACTTATGCACACGTCCCCACACTCGCACACATACGCACACACCTTTACACACACATCCTCACACATGAACACACCCTCCTGTGTGCACACACATACACACATCTATCCACTCACATACACACAACACCCTAGATGCCTAGTTTGGAACAGAAGCGGTTAACTGGCAAAACATGTTATGTGAATGGCGTCCCAGTATTTTCTTTCAAATCACACTAACAACCAGGTAATGAGATAGTTTGCAAGGGAGAAAGAGTGTAAAAATGAAAGAAAAGTACTTGCAGGCAAATCAGTATTTGTTCACCTGTTGAATGTGTTTTGTTTGAATAGATTTTTATTGAAAGATTCTATTGTATTTCCCATGGTTTAGATATTTTTCCAGCTTTTGTATAAATATGACCATACAAAATGCTCTTGTTCCCGCCCAATCTCTATTTGCAATTTACTGAATGAGTCATTTACAGAGAGGATCCTGAGACCATCTAAAATACTATGAGTGGGCCCTGAAAATGCTCTCTTTCTACTCCCTCCTAATGAATTTAAGTGTTTGAAGAAAAACTTACTAAATTCATGCGCCTATTAATAGTTCCACAATGAAGAAGAATCTAACAGGAGTTCAATGTAACCACTGTCATGGCAGAGAAATAACAAATGCATATTATATTTTTTAAAATCAGGCTTTTTTGAGTGCATCAATTATCCTGGTACTTCCCACTTAGTAAAAGCAGTGAGTAGGCCCTTTAAATCTATTTATTAATTCACTGAGCGATCTCAACAAACTGTTAAAAAAGCTTTAGGTATTCATTCAAACCAACTAAAATACACAGGTATCCTTTAGAAAATTAAAATCTAGGTAAAGAGAAGATAAAAAGAGGATACTGATTATTGATCACCCATTCTACGACGGGCCTTTTAATAGGCCCTATTTATAAATCAGGTCAACACACGAACGTCTCCACCATTAAATAGAAATTTGACAGGAGTAAGAGCATTGTTTCTCTGATGTATCGCCCAGCACCTGCAGTATCTGACACACAACAGATGCTAAGTCAATACTTTTGAATGAATGACTGAATGAATGAATGAATGAATGAGATGTCTTCCCAGAGAAGTGGTTAGTCCCAAGCTCCATAACATTGGGTGGGTGTCCTCAGCCAAAGTCACATCGCCTCAGGGTACAGAAATAGAAGACAATAAGGAAATGTGTTTAATGAGGATTTCGGTCATGTGTTGATACTCAGCTCTTCACCTCACTCCATCGACTGACTTCATTCTTATGATTTTATACTTAAAATGTTTGTGCATTTGGATGCAAACAGCCTTACCAAGGGGAAATTAGGTATAACTCTGGAGACAATGATCTTTATTCTTTTTTAAGGGCCCGTTTCAGGCAATGATGCCAGGCTTTGCTGTTGCTAGGGAGATAGAGAGAATGTGGGGGGAATGAGGGGGACATTGAGTGTTTTCTTTAGCCTGCAGGCCAGGGCACAGTGACCAGAATGGAGAAATAGGGCCAGCCTGTTCTCTCAATCAAATCCCGTACAGTCCATTGAGAATAGAAGTAGTCATGATTACGTTTTGGTATTTAGCCTAGAACCACCAAAAATATCAGCCTAAAACAATTCTATTCCAAATACTGCCATGTTATTTAAGTTGTCAATTGTTAGGAAGCATGGGGGCAATTTTGTGTTTTGACACGGATATGGATTAAGCACCTGGGAGAAGCATCTGCTCTGCAAGGTGACAGCAACAAGCCTGACAGAGAACCAGAGCAAACAGTCTTTTATCAGCTGGTCTATTACCTGAGAGACCCAGAGAAGACTGTGCCCAGCTGTGTGAATACTTCAGCAGGCTTGGGCTAGACAGCTGCTGAGTGTTCTTCGCAGTTTCTGTCATGGCCTGGATACAAGTGCTCTTAATCTAGTAGATTTTACCATGAGTCTGGCTGCTTTTTCCAGCACGCTCTCCAGGCCTGTTCATTGATTCATGCTGCAAGTACTTACAGTGAGTCTACTGTGCGGGGGGCCCTCTTAGCTTAATATACACAGAAAAGACACTTGGTTCAGCAAAGAAAAGAAAGGAGGATTCATTAATAGAAAGCCAGCTAATGCACAGTTTTTCCCCCCAAAATGTTTGAATTTTTTAAAAAATTGCAGGAACTCACTTCTTAGCACATCAGGTCTCCCTTGTCTTTTTGCCCTCTGTCATCTTCTCTAAACCGAGGACAGCGATCAGCTACGTGAGAGTGGTATTCATGAGTGAACACATGGCCAAAAGAGGAACACACAAACTGGTCATGGTATTTTCTTTGCATCTCTCACAATAACCTCTCCTTTAATTTTCAAGGAATGCAAGTCATCTTTAGAAAATGACAAGAATAAGTCCAGGCGCGGTGGCTCACACCTGTAATCCCAGCACTTTGGGAGGCCGAGGTGGGTGGATCACCTGAGGTCAGGAGTTCGAGACCAATCTGGTCAATGTGGTGAAACCCTGTCTCTACTAAAAATACAAAATTAGCCGGGCGTGGTGGCAGGCGCTTGTAATCCCAGCTACCCGGGAGGCTGAGGCATGAGAATTGCTTGAACCCGGGAGGCAGAGGTAGCAGTGAGCAGAGATCACACCATTGCACTCCAGCCTGGGCAACAAGAGCGAAACTCCAACTCAAAAAAAAAAAAAAAAAAGGAAAAAGAAAAAGAAAATGACAAGAATAAACAACATAAGGTGTCTATGAGAAACAGAAATCACCCAATTGCCCTGGCCATATTGTAGGCTGCTGTAAAGAAAGTTCACTACCAAAAGAAATTCTTCAAGTGCCGTGGCATCTGGTGTTAAGATTCCAGGCATCTGACATTTGCCACTCGACAGGAAAGATATAGACAATAAAGTCATCCTTTAAGGTGTTACTAGAATGCTCTGTGTAAACTTGGTAGAATGTAAAGGTCTGAGGAACATTGTGTTATAATGTTATACTTTGCAGTACCTTTTCCTGTAAAGGAGTCCTGGTTTACTGAAAATTTAGGAAAGGAATGCAGATTGTGACATTTGCTTCTCTGGCATAGGAGGCAAGGCAAAATGCAAATGTTAGAATTAATCTCACTTTACAGCATTGCACTTAACACACGCGTTGAAGTAGCACAGATTCAAGAATCACCATGATTGCCTTCGTTCAACAGCTTATGACACAGTGCCCAGATTCCTTTTAATTTCATGTAAAAGAATCAATGTGTCAAACTGGCAGAGTATCCTGAATAACCCTAGTGAGTGGCATTGGAACACTATGGTCGGTGCTATTCACAAGACAGCATTCCAGAGCAGGATAAGAAATGTGTCAGCTCAAAAACGACATTAATCCTGTTTCGTAAGCAATATTCCATTACAATAAGGTATACTGCCCAGGAAGACAACATGTTTGCTACTTCTAGATGTCTAAAAGGTCATTTTCTCCAGTCAAACTTTCATTACAAGAAGACAATAAACCAATATTTGTGGTCATCTTTCTCTTTATGAAAAAAAGTCAAGAACTTGAGAAATTGACTGAAGTAGCACCCTGTCTTCTAATGTAGTCAAGTCTACCATGTTCTGTTACGTACATTTATCTCAGGAAACAGTGTATATGAAGACCTAGAGACGAAGGTGTGAGAGTGTGTGTGTGTGTATGAGTGTGCGTGTGAGTGTGTTTGTGTGTCTGTGTGTGTGAGAGTGTATGTGTGTCTGTGTGTGTGAGTGTGTGTGTGTGAGAGTGTGTGTGTCTGTGTGTCTGTGTGTGAGTGAGCGTGTGTGGTGAGACAGAGGAAGAAAATATATGCAACACAAGAAGACAGGACTATGTCTTTTTTTTTTTTTTTAAACAATGTACTGCCCACGACAGTCACGGAAGTGATGAAAATCCAGAACAATATGATGGGTATCATAAAATTACCAGGGAGTCAATGACTGCCCATGTAAAGGAGCTTATAGCAGTGACTGATGAGTGAATCATTCTCAGCCTTAAATGCTTCTCTTACCCAATTCAGAACTGTCCTACTTCCTGTTAAATGTGTTGTTAACCAGCAATTTTTAAATTCTTAATTTAAGATCCTTGCCTTGCTTTTTAAAATTCACTATTCAATCAAAGGGGTTCACTTGGCTATCAGGAATATTTTTCCCCAAAGAAGGCTACACAATGCACATTTGCAAGACAGTGGTCAAAGAAATTAGCCAGGATCCTTTCATCTCGATCCCTGGAGTTGGTGGAATGCAATGGAAGACAGAGGACTGGATCTGACTATGGTTCTGACACGGACTAATTTTTGACCAACAAGGTTTTCATCTTTTGTCATCTTTTGATTCCTCGCTTATAAAATATCTTCCTCAAAGCAGTTATAAAAATTTAAAATGAGATAAAACTGAAACTATAGGTTGAAAAGCATAAGACAATTAAAAGTATTGCTACTGTTAGATATTTTGTTAGCACCTTTTGAAAACACAATTTGTTTTTCTATAACAACTTAGGCATTCCTGAAAATCACACACCACAGAAAATTGAGCAATAAAAACCACAGAGCTTAAGAGAAAAGAAACAGGGTGCAACGCTCTAAAAATTTTATCTGTGCCACATAAAAAACAAAGATAGGAACCTAATAAAAACGGCAGCACAGTGTTTCACTAGTTAATTGGCTAAGAAATACATACATACTACAATAGTTTTGTATTTTCAAGACAATACATTGTTTCTATCCTGACAAAGACCTGAAAGTTGGCTCATGGAAGTGAGCACCGGAAGAGCTAAAGCTTGTGAGTTATTGGAAAGTGGTAGAAAGAGGATTGTCTGAAGCTGGAGAGCTGTCATGCCAGTAGGAGGTGTTATGCTCATATCCAAGGCCTGAACTGTGAGGTAGCTGGTAGATGTTTGAGAAATGGGCGTTTTATATATTTCTATAGGGCTCAATTCAGCTGGGTGCAGTTTTTTTCATTCACTCACAAATGAAACTATGCATAAACAATCACGAAATTCACATTGCATGAGAATTGCTCCCTAAGATATCAATTGTGTTGGAACAAATTTGTGTTTTCAAATGAGCATTATAGCAGAACTGACTGTATCATGATATGTGTCCCCAAATTGGAAAACAAAACCCCAAAATAATTACATGAAAATCAACTGGTTCTCTTTGTTCCTGCTACTTAAAAGGAGTATATACACGGAAGAAACACCTCAGCGCAGCTCTGAGCTTCTCTCCTTTTATCAGCAAATAGATGAACATTTGATGGTTTGAAAAATCAATGACTTCAGACATGAATTTCATCACACCTCTGTCTTCCTCAGCATATTATTTGAACCTCACAAAGGACATTTGATTAGGAAATTAAGATCAATAACCAGTAGATTACCAAATACAGGGAGATTTTACTTTCATTCTCCAATCATTCATCAGATTTTCATTTCCAATCTTGATTCACTCAGTAAATATTTATTGCACATTTGTAATGTGTCAGGCCCCATTCTAGGCACTGGAGATGCACTGGTGAACAAAACACAAAAAGGTCACTGTCTTCACGCAACTTACATTCTAGTGAGAGAAACAGACTACAAACAATGGCACATTGATACATATACAGGCCTTGTGCTTGCTTTAATGCACTTTGTAGATATTGCATTTTTTATAAACTGAAAGTTTGTGACAACTCCGCACTGAGCAAGGCCATCAGTGCCATTTTCCCAACAACAGGTGCTCACTCTGTGTCTCTGTGTCAAATTTTGGTAATTCTTCCCACAGTGTTTCAAACTTGTTTGCATTATTATGATATCTGTGATGGTGATCTGTGATCAGTGATCTTTGATGTTACTATTGTAATTGTTTTAGGGTACCAAAACCCACACCCCTTTAAAATGGTGAACTTCATCCATGAATGTTGTATGTGTTCTGACTGCTCCACCAACCAGCCGTTGCCCTGTGTCTCTCCCACTCCTCGGGCCCCTCTATTCCCTGAGACACAACAACATTAAATTTAGGCCAATTAATAATGCTACCATGGCCTCTAAGTGTTAAGTAAAAGGAAGAGTCACACATTTCTCACTTGGAATCAAAAGCCAGAAGCATGAAGCTTCATGAGAGAGGCATGTAGAAAGCTAAGATAAGCCAAACAGTCAGCCAAGTTGCAAACGCAAAGGAAAAGTTATTGAAGAAAATTAAAAGTGCTACTCCAGTGAACACACGAATGATAAGAGAGTGAAACGGCCTTATTGCTGATATGGAGAAAGTTTTTGTGGTCTGGATAGATGATCAAACCCGCCACAACATTCTCATAAGCCAAACCCTAATCCAGAACAAGGCCCTAACTCTCTTCAATCCTATGAAGGCTGAGAGGTGAGGAAGTCACAGGAGAAAATTTGATAGCTAGCAGAGGTTGGTTCATGAGGTTTAAGGAAAGAAGCCATCTCCGTAACATAAAAGTACAAAGTGAAGCAGCAAATGCTGATGAAGAAGCTGCAGTAAGTTTTCCAAAAGATCTAGCCAAGAGAATTGATGAAGGTAGTTACACTAAATAATAGATTTTCCTTGTAGATGAAACAGCCTTCTGTTGGAAAAAGATGCCATTTAGGACTTTCATAGCTAGAGAGGAGATGTCATTGCCTGGCTTCAAAGCTTCAAAGGACAGGCTGACTCTCTTGGTAGAGGCTAATGCCGCTGGTGACTTTAAGTTTATGCCAATGCTCATTGACCATTCCAAAAATCCTAGGACTCTTAAGAATTATGCTAAATCCACTCTGCCTGTGCTCTATCAATGGAGCAACAAGGCCCAGGCAATGCTCACAGTCACCCAAGAGCTCTGATGAAGATCTATGAAAAGATTAACGTTGTTTTCATGCTAACACAACATCTATTCTGCAGCCCATGGATCGAGGAGTAGTTTCTACTTTAAGTCTTACAAGTTAAAAACAAAATACATTTTGTAAGTCTATACCTAGACAGATGTATAATAACATCTATCCATGTAGATAGTGATTTCTCTGATGGATCTAGCAAAAAAAATTGAAAACCTTCTGGAAAGGATTCACCATTCTAGATGTCATTAAGAACTTTCATAATTCATAGGAAGAGGTCAAAATAACAATATTAACAGAAGTTTGCATGAAGTTGATTCCAACCCTCATGGGTGACTTAAAGGAGTTCAAGCCTTCAGCGGTGGAAGTCACTGCAGATGTGGTAGAAATAGCAAGAGAACTTGGATTTTAAGTGGAGGCTGAAGATGTGACTAAATTGTTGTAATCTCATGAAAAAACTTGAACAGATGAGGACTTGCTTCTTATGAATGTGCAAAAAAAAGTGGTTTTTTGAGATGGAATCTACTCCTAGTGAAGACGCTATGAACATTTTTGAAATGACAAGAAAGGATTTAAAATATTACATAAGCATAGTTAATAAAGCGTAGTAGGGCCTGACAGAATTGACTTCAATCTTCGAAGTCCTTCTGTGGATAAAATGCTCTCAAACAGCATAACATGCAATGGAGAAATCTTTCGTGAAAGAAAGAGTCAATCAATGCGGCTCACTTCACTGTCGTTTATTTGAAGAAATTGCCACAGCCACTCCAACCTTCAGCAACTACCACCCTCATCAGTCAACAGCCATCAACATTGAGGCAAGATCCTCCCCAAGGAAAAAGATTTGCTGAAGGCACAGACAATTGTGAACAATTTTTAGCAATAAAGAATTTCTAAGTTAAGGTATGTACCTTGTTTTTTTAGCCATAATGTTCTTTGACACTTATTAGACTACAGTGTGGTATAAACTTAACTTTTATATGCACTCAGAAACCAAAGAATTTGTGTGGCTCGCTTTATTGTCATATTCATTTATCAAGGTGATCTGGAACCAAACCTGCAATATATCCAAGCTATGCCTATAATACATAAATTATATATAATGTTAGAAAGTAATAAATGTTATGAACAAAAGTAGAGCGCAGTGGGAATCAGAAATATATAAATTCCCTTTCTTGCAGGGGATTTGGTAAAAGAAGTAGAGCTGTGGTCGGGCCCAGACACCATCGGAATTTGTAGGCCAAAGGAAGGGGAATTCACTGATAATTTTGTGTAGGCTGTAGCATGAGCTAACTCAAATGTTTAAAAGATTATTTTCACTGTACTGTAGGGAATAGATAGAAGGTAGGAACTATGAGAGCCACTTGGGAGCCCTTTGCAATAGTCTGTGCAAAAACTGATAGTAGTAGCAGTAGAAATGGTTTAAAGTGAGTAGAGTCAAGATATATTTTAAAGTTAGAGCCCGGGGAACTTATTGATGTTGAAGACAGAGTAAGAAAAAGGATGGCATCAAGAATAGCTTCAAGGTGTTTTATTCAAACAATGAAACAGTAGAAGCTTTTTTTTTTTCTTCTTCTTCTTTTTTTTTTTTTTTTTTTTTTTTTTTGAGATGCAGAAAATGGCAAGAACTGACTTGGGGCTGAGGGAGAGAGGAGTGCCAGAAATCAAGACAGTCTTAATAACAGCCAAAGATCAACCTAAGAATGAAAAGGGAAGCTTCAGCTTGAATTATTTGAAGTTGAATAGTGGTCAGTTTTTGTTTTTTGTAATTAAAGTGGACCTCCTACACCTTGCATCTTCCCCAGCCGTGCTCTCCTGTCAACAACTGTCTGATATCTGATAATAGCTAATCCCTATAGCCTTGCAATTTCAGAATAGGGGGAAAATACATTTAAAAAATTTGATGATTAAAAAAAGATAGTGATAACCAAGCCACTTTCTTGTGGTACTAAACATTTGAATGTAGTCTCTAATGTTATTACTTTTTACTAATTTTAGCTAAATACATTCCATAAAACCAACAACTCCCACTTACTGATTTTCCTGCTCCAAGTTCTAACAATTTTTGTGAAGTCTCTGGGATCTTCTACATATAAGGTCATGTCATCTGTGAAAAGAGAGAATTTTACTCCTTGTTTTCTGATTTGGATGCATCGTATTTCCTTTTCTAGCCTAACTGCCCTGGCTAGGACTTCTAGTGCTATGCTGAATAGAAGTGTCAACAGTAGGCATCCTCGTCTTTTTTTCTGATCTTAGAGAAAAAGCTTTCAGTTTTTTACCATTGAGTGTGATGTCAGCTGTGCCCTTTTCATATACAGCCTTCATTATGTTGAAGTAAATTCTTTCTACACATATATTATTAGGCATTTTTATCAATAAAGGTTGTTACATTTTGTAAAATGCTTTCTCTGTATCTTTTGAGATGACTGTGTGATTTTTTTCCTTCATTTGTTGATATACTGAATCACATTAATTGATCTGCACGTGGTACAGAAGTAGAAAAACAAACTTAGTTTCTCCTACTCTACTTTCATAACATGCTTCTGACACTCATTGCGGGGGGTTCTTCCCCACACATCAAGCAAGCAATCAATTCTTGAGCAGACACTAGCTGTCCTCCAGTACAGTCCTGCCACTATCTACCTAGAGATAGTGTTTCCATGCCCTCTGCAGGCATGCCACCCTCCAGGAACCTCCAAGTGTTCACCTCTCTCTGAACCCAGGTTTTGGGGGTTTGGGGAGAGTGCTGTTACACAGTCATGATTGACTAAATCACCGGCCACTGAAGACCAGCTCAACCTTTAGCCCTTCTCCTCTCCCTGGAGGTGGGGGAGCAAGGATGGGGCTGAAAGTCCCTACCTTCTAATCATGCCTTGGTCTTTCCAGTGACCAGTCCCCACATCCTGAAGCTACATAGGGTAGCCAGTAATCAGTCAACTCATTAGCATAAAGAGATACTTAATACTTTGGAGATTCCCGGATTTGAGGAGCTGTATTCAGGAGACTGATGGAAGACCAAATGTAAGTATTTCACAATACCAAACATGTGGTGAGGCATTCTTGCATCCCAACGACAAATCCCACTTGGTCCTGGTGTATGATCCTTTTAATGACCTGGTGAAGACGGTTTACTAGTATTGTTTTGAGAATTTTTGCATCCATATTTATCATAGATATTGGCCTGTAGTTTTCTTTTTTTGTTATATCTTTATCTAGTTTTTGTATTGGGTTAATGCTGGCCTCATAAACTGAGTTTAGAAGTGTCCCCTTTTCTTCAATTTTTCAGAAGATGAATGTCAAAATTCCATTTGTTTATCAATGATGTGAGCCACTTTTTTGTTGCTGAATCAGATCATTTAATAGTTTTCAGATACAGAATAATATATGTGTTTACTATTATGTAAAGTAATATGTAATAGTGAAAGGCATTAATGCACTTTTAAGTTTATATTTGCAATGTTAACATTTTCTCCATCACTTTCTGAAGTCTTGACAGCTAATAAAATAATCAATCAAGCACTGATTTGTAGTGTTTGCTGATTTCCCTGGGGTAAATACAAACAAAAGTATTTGCACGTTTGGAAGCTGATTTCAAGCTTCCAATGTTTGATATGGAGCCCAGAGATGGGAAGAAATGAGCAGTTTATTTACAAGATGTAAACAACCTCAAAAGCACAGATAATTGTAAATGGAGTAAAAAACTAGAAAGTTACAAGTTTTGAGTATTGCTTCCATTTAATATAATTTAATGAACTATAAGTTTATATAATTGAATAGTTAATATATACTGTTTAACAGCCAACATGTGAATTCCTGAGAATTTAGCAATTGGCTCCTGTGAAATACTACAAGCCAGCTCCAGCACACCATTGTAGCTTGGTCTCCAGAAAACAACTTGTTAGAATTATTTGGAGCCAAATATGGGGAAAGGACCTTACCCTTACTTTCTGCATTCCTCTTTTCTTACGTCTCCCTATGTGCACAAAGGAAGCTACTGTCAACTCTTCAGCTGAATCAAACCCCAAATCCTGAGGCAGGCTTCTCAAGGTCTCACTGAGAACCCATGGCAATCAGGACTCCACTCCCAGCCACCCGGGATTCCAGTAATGAATTTGGGGAGGAAAGATCATCAGTGGTTATCTGCACATCAAAAGTATGCACCCTTTGAAAATATCATGGAATAAACATCTCTGTTGCTGACATCATTAGATGTATCTTTTTGGATTATCAAGGTTTCAGACTTCAGCTTCTTGGCCACTCATCAGTTGCTGCTGTTGGATATATTTTTAGGTTCTAAATATATCTTACAGGGACAATAATATCATCATCTCCTTTGCCAAAGCAGAAGATAACATTTGGCAGTAAACACTGAATCATACGCCTTCCCAGTTCTTCCGAGATTTCCTTTCAAGGCCTTGGCTTTTCCACATAAACAATATCCTGTCTTGGGTTTTCCACAGGAAAACCATCTCCTGCCATCTTGGTGCCCCTCACTCACTTCACCTTCTCAACTGAGAGGCTGAGCATAATACTTACTCCTTGAATAATACATTTGTCTACGTGTTACAGACATATCCCCTGTCACTCAGGAGGTCCTAACCAGAGAGTAATCATTCTGATAGAAATGGGCAAGTAAAGACATATATAGACAAAAGATTAAAATTGTTTGGTCAATACTGGAATCCAGCAATCACACACTAATGGAAGTATCTCAGTTTTTAAGATAATGGTAAAATTATAGACATCTATAATATTTCACATTAAATATAAAATGAGACTTGGTTGGAATCTATCACGTAGATGACATCAAAGAGCTCTCCACTGTAAAAAGTCATTTCTTATATTTGACATCATTTTAAAGTATTCTATGTGCATATATGCCCTTGCCAGCATCTAAAAGGCTTCTATCCTGAGAAATTTCTTTCTTTTTTCTTTTTTTTTTTCCCAGACAGAGTTTCACTCTTGTTGCCCAGGCTGGAGTGCAATGGTGCAATCTTGGCTCACCACAACCTCTGCCTCCTGGGTTCAAGCGATTCTCCCGCCTCAGCCTCCCGAGTAGCTGGGATTACAGGCATGTGCCACCATACCTGGCTAATTTCTTATTTTTGTTGTTGTTGTTGTATTTTTAGTAGAGACAGGGCTTCTCCATGTTGGTCAGGCTGGTCTCGAACTCCCGACCTCAGGTGATCCACCTGCCTCGGCTTCCCAAAGTACTGGGATTACAGGCATAATCCACCATGCCCAGACTATCCTGAGAATTTTCAATGTAGAGCTATTGTTTTATAAGCAAAAATGATCAACATTTATATTTTAATCATTATAAAGCAATACATATTCGATTTGCTTCATTTACAAAAGGCTTCCTGGACTTAGCCCTTTAAAAATGCACGACACTTAATTTTTTTTTAACAAAAAAGCAGAAAAAGATGATCAAACGAAGGATACTGATCCATCAATTACTCCTCAGGAAGACAGGTGGATCATGTGTGATTTTTCAAATGTTTCACCAGATTGTTAAAATGATTAAATGAACAACCTAAGCTCAACTTGAAATCCATACAGATGTGATAGCACCATAACCATTTCTTACCCTCTGGACACTGTAGTATGGTTGCCTCTGGCATCTTTAACTTGGTTGGCTGATAATATTTAATATAAAAATCTTCATGGGGTGTCAATAAATGTTAGCTTTCTACTCCCTTTCTACAATAAAAGCCATTAAATCATGATTTATTACAAAAATGTGACTTGACTGATTTTCCCATGTTATACATCCATGAAATGTAAACATGAAATGCTAATATAAAAGAAAAATACAAGAATATAGATTTTACTGTTAATGGTGCCTATTAAATGTTGGTATAAAAATACCCTAAGAAAATGCAACAAAATATTAATGGTGGTAGTGCCTTTAACTGGAGGGATTAAAGGTGATGTTTCCAAGTTTACATAATGATTGTGAAATACTCCTGGGATAGAGAAATAAAATTTTATTAAAAATATTATTATGTTTAGAGTCAGGGTCTTACTTTGTCACCCAGGCTGGAGTTCAGTGGCACCATCATAGTTCACCGTAACGTCAAATTCCTGGCCTTAAGTGATCCTCCTGCCTCAGCGTCCCAAAATGCTGGGATTACAGGCATGAACCACCATGCCTGACCCAAAAGTTTATTTTTAAAAACATAAATTTTAAAAAGATAACATAATCATATCTCACTTCACTCATTAAACATATTCTAGAAAATGTTTTATAATTTAATTTTTGTTTTTAAAAAGTTCGAAGGCCGGGCGCAGTGGCTCTCGCCTGTAATCCCAGCACTTTGGGAGGCTGAGGCGGGCAGATCACGAGGTCAGGAGTTCGAGACCAGCCTGACCAACATGATGAAACCCCGTCTCTACTAAAAATGCAAAAATTAGCTGGGCCTGGTGGTGTGCGCCTTTAATCCCAGCTACTCAGGAGGCTGAGGCAGGAGAATCACTTGAACCCGGGAGGCGGAGGTTGCAGTGAGCTGAGATTGTGCCACTGCACTCCAGCCTGGGCAACAGAGCGAGACTCCACGTAAAGAAAAGAAAAAAAGTTTGAAAATGTCCCAAAGAAGCTAACTACTCTCCCTGTGTTTTCCCAGCCATGCTGAATTACTTGTAGTTCCCTGAAGCATCATGCTAATTCCAACTCTGTGCCCTAATAGGTGCTGTTGCTGATATATTAGGCCCCTTGCTCTATGTTCCTCATGTAACTATGAGTTTTCCTTCAAAACCTTCCCCAGGAACACTTTCTGAGTTCTCCACTACAATATAAATGCTCATCCTTCGGAGAGATCCCTCAATGAATTTATCAACAGTAAGCACTATCACACTATAATAACTGTGGAAAGTGATTTAACAAAGCACAGTGCCTTCTGAATAAAGAAATGAATGAATGGATAAGCAACTTTGACACTCCCATAACTTAAACAAATGGTTGACCTTTTTGTTTTCTCTCACTTAAGTGACTGGCTGTTTGACTCGAGTAGTAAAAACAAACTAGGTGTCTTGACACCCTAAAAAGGGTGAATGTTATCTACATAAATTCAATCTATACATTTAATTAAATAGTATCATTCAATAAGCATTAACTGATGGCATTGTAAGTGCCAGGTTTGGTGTTAGGCACTAGAACATGGAAAGGAGGAACAGTGCTTCTTTCCTCAACAAACTGAGACTAACAGGAATAGTCAGGCAAATCCACAGTTGCAGTAGTGTTATTAAGTGCAGTGTTGAAGCATGCACTTTCTGTAGCAGGAACAAAAAGGGGTGCTGTGGGGTGTGGGGACAAGCCTTCTTGGTTCCAACACTGTGTTAAACTAAAATGTAGTTGTATTTACAATACAAAGCTTAATAAAGGCTGCACTGGACAATTGCCTAATATCATCAATGTAAATACCCAATGTTATGTGATTAGAATGGGCATAAAAAATAACAAAATCTGCTGTTATTAACAATGATTCCCACTGGAATATTGGAAGACACACTGACTATCACTCACTACAGAAAGTATAGAATTGGAAAAGATAATTTTATGAAGATTTATAAACTTTTAAAACTGGTGTGAAAGTATTATTTCCCAAATTCAGTTTGTAGCTGGGGTGGGGCGAGTAGGTAGTATAAATTTCTTCTTAAATTGTATCATGACAGAGAAGTGTTCTTTAGGATTCCATTGTTGTGGACTAACAAAGTCACTTTTAGATATCTCAAATTTGAACTTTATTGCTCTTCCTATCTTCCAAAGAAATGCACTGAAAAATAAAATGGTCTCTCTACAGAAGAACCAAAAAGCACAAGCAGTTTTTTTTATCCTCACAGCTTTCTGTTTTCAAGCAATTTGGAGTCCCCAGGCGGATTCAAACTCGATCCCCCTTCCACCTCACTCGGGCTCTATGCACTCCCACAGATAACGAGATTGGGTGAGCACATCAGATTCACTTTCCAAAGGCACACTGAAAAATCTTCATGCAGATTAAAAGATTTTTTTAACTATTTCAGCTTCCACATCTTCCAAACTTCTCTTTCTCAAACCATAGAACACTATCATTTGTGCAGAACAACATGAAGATGGGAGGTTATGGTTCCTTCAATTATGTCTGAGAATTAAGACATATGTTATATATTTACTATGAACCTTAAAGAATAAACTGCACCTAGATCTAATAACCATAATTCTAAATAACCTTCTATAATCTATTATATACATAGTAGCCAGATAGACTTCTAAAAACATAGCTCAATCAGCGCTCAAAAATGTGGCACTGATTGACAGTGTATAATTCTCACTCATTAGTTGTGGAATAAAGTCCAAACCGCCGTTCTAGAATTCAAGCTCCTCACAAACTGGCTCCAATCTGCCTTCATTGTTGATTAACCACATGTCCCTTGCAAAATCTACGCTCCATCCCCAAGAGACTCTGTGTTGTTCTCTGAGCATTCAGAGAACTCTTCCACCTCCATGTCTGCCCTCTCACGGTTTTTCCCACTTGACTAACCTTCCTCCCATTTCACCTATTCAAACCTAACTCATCAGAAGCCCTCCTCTCTGAAGCCTGTCTAGATTATCCCACCTGAGAGCAATGTCTCTGTCCTCTACGTTCTCACTCTGCTGGCATACATGTCTCTTGCCACCTCTACCACATCTTGCTCACCTTTGTAAGTAAACCTCACCTTGCTCACCTTTATAAGTAACTGTTGTTAGCACATACTAGGTGTACAACACCACACCTATAAGTGAGTGGCTGAATCTTTTTACAAAATGATTCAGAAGGCATCTCAGGATTATTTCATTTCTCCACATAATCACACATATCGACTACCATTATTTGATAGATTCAGAGGTTGCAAGATATTGGTTGACTATATATTCACTCTTTAACTGATACTAAAAGTTGTTTTAGCCAGTTAATCTCTAATAGCAGCTTATCTGCCACTTATTTGATTCTCATATAAAGAAAGAGTATTAAAAATCTGATGTTTGAATATCCTACTTACATAAATTCAAGAAAAGCAGGGGTTTAGCATATCTGCCACCCTGAATTCAATTATCTACTGCATGTGTTGTCTCTCATGTGTAACCTGGGCCTTGATGCTAAGCCACCCCTCAGAGATTCTTTAAGTTCCAATGTCAGAAAATTTGAGGGTCCTATGGCATAGAATGATAAGTACCAACATGGTTACTACTGAAGATGTTAGTTTGGAAATACTTTTAGATCATGGAGTGCTTAAGTGCTATACAGTCATATCACCAATAGCCTTACCTTTTCCACAAGATTTTTTTTAACAAAATGTAAAATACAGGTACTGTAATTCATGAATTCTCACATAAAGGACAAATAAAAATAGGATCATGAATATTGCTCAGACTTTGAATTTTTATACTGTAATCTAAGAATACTCTGAAGGACACAAATCAAATTGGTAGGGCCAGGAAATAAAATAATTTCTAAATTCTACTAACAGTAAAAAACACAAATATAAATCTTATTAAGGCAGAAAATAAAAAACAAGAGATTTTCACCATTTAGTTTCATCGTTTAAATATCATATTTATTATCATACACTGCAAACTCCCCAAACTGCTTTGATATTTTCCCTTAAAAATAAGAGAGAAAACATGAAGGCATCTGATTTTGTGATAATAGAAAATTTCTTGATAATATGTTTTTGTGGCTATAAGTGCCAATGAATATATCAAGTTCTAAATAATATGCAATGTTTTAAATACCAATGAATGTTGTGACAATTTTTTTCATTTAAATTGTGATGTATGTTTGCAAGATACAGTCTACTTCCTTTAAGCTAGAGAGGCGCCTGTCAGCGCCTGTGGAGGCCTAAGAGGAGGAGGCTTACAACTGCAGTCTTCTCCTTCCTCCCTGACCCCGTTGTAGGAATAAGAAGTAAATCTTCAGTCAGAATCAGCCCATGCACACACAAGCCAGTGGCAAACCTCTGCCCAAGTATTAAAGGATAAACTGGGCAATCAGATTTGAATCTCAAAACTCTGGACTAGGAAATCAGAAGAATGAACTACTGTAAGTCAATGATATGAACGAGTCCAAGAGACAAAGTAGAGGGGGAAAGCTAATCAGTAGAAAACAGGCAGATGAAGATGCCTGGAGAGAAGCAGAGCTGCCAACGGAGAACAGACGCGAGAGCTGTCCGAGGTCCTGATACCCTGAGGTTCTGATTCCAGTCAACCTGCAGACTCACATCTATCCTGAAATGCAACCCAACTCCAATTCCACAGAGTCACAATGTACCTAAATTATTTGGACAGACACAGAAGTCATAATAATATAATTTAACCTACTGATAGGCCCTGTGACAAAAAGGCCTAGGCAAATGGTAATTTTTAAAAGCCCAGTCTGCCTGAGACTGAAGCCCAGCTCTGTCATTTATTACCTCTGTGGCCCTAAGCAAGTTATTTAGTCTCTCTTAGTCTCCAATTTATCATGTTTAAAATGGATATAATAGCAATGCCTCAAAGGGTTGTTATGAGAAATGCGTGAGATGATGAATGTGTAGTGGTTAGCACAGACGGCTCCAATGTTAGACGATGATCAGGAGCATGATGGTGACAACAATGATGATAATTTCCTTTTCCACACGGGCATAGTAGCTCAATAGAGAAATAAATTAGCTTTAAATTTAAACTAACTCTATTTACTTATTACCAGCTTGTTCACTTAAGAAATAGGTAGACTATTATAGTTAAGATTTTAAACCTTAGATGTTTTGCCTTGGAGACAGTTTGGGATGAAAGAAAAATATATAAAAGCAAAAAAAACAAAAAAAAAAGCAACTTTTTACTTAAAACCTAGATTCTTTATTTTTCTTCCTACCACCACAATTGATTCTAAATCTCATGTATAATCCATTTTCTCTGCAAAAAGTATAACTCATGCACTCATTCCCTTCATGGAGACTTTATGAGGGCCTCATCATTGAACTTTCTGTCTTCTAATACGTGTACCCTTTTTGCATTGCATCAGAAGAAAAACTTCTAATTCACAGTCACCTCTAATTAAATACTCTTCTGGAACACACCACTGTCTGCTGAATAAAGACCAGATTTCCTTAGAATGACCATGGCAACTTTTTACAGTCTGATCTCAGTTCCTCAATTCATCCCCTACTCATCCCTACCAGCTTTTCATGGTCCTTCCTCATATCTATTCATTTTCTCTGGCTTTTTTCCTTGCCCAGGATCTTTTTCTGACTTACAGGTCTGGATAAAGACACAAGTTTTTGGCCTAAGTCTTAAGGTTCAGTTCAAAAGCTCTTTCTTAATAAAATGCCTCTTATCTTTATACTCTGACCTAATGATTTTCTTTTCCTTGGTCATAGAGTATTCTGTATTTCTATTAAAAGACATCACATTCTACTATAAAGCTATGGACACATCTTTCCAAAAAAGCAGTAGCTATATTTTAAATAAACAGTGATAAAAAATAATTGTGAAGTTCATAAACAAGGTAACCCTGATATGGGAAAATTGTTGGTAAACACATTTGAAACTATTCCATAGGATGTATTTTAATTCCTCCATGTTCCCATCCACGACCTGACTCTAAGGAGATAAAATAGAATCCTGTTGCTACGGGGGAAACCCAATTATTTAAACAACAAAGATTTTCTCTAGTTCAAGGTGAAAAACTTTCCTAATAAGTTGGTGCTCTTGAGCACAAAAAGATGAAATTAGATATAAGGGGGAGGCACTGAAACCCTTTTCAATGAATTCTTATTGAGCGATCACAGTGATCCAAACTAGCAGAGGATCCTTGTGCCTATTAGTTACACAGAACTCATAGGCCAGGTACTATTTTGCTATTGAATCTGCAGTTTGGCTCTCCACAGTTACTCACGCTAAGCTATAAACATAAAAATGAAAAATGACCATAGGACGGTAAAAAGGGTACTCATATTGATGATATGAGAGGCATCTTTCATGTATGCCTAACACACTGCCAGTCACAGGTGCACACACTTAAACCTGCTTTCAAATAAATCTCTACTGACTTTCACTAGGAAAGGAGAAACGTGTCTGTTGGCAAGAGGTTCTCACTCCATTTGGGTTATTGGCAACTTTTATACAGAGACCATTTGGCAGACTCCATGACATCATGCAGGGATTTTAGATCTGATACTTGTTGTGCATGCATCTCTCATGTTTTAGGACAACATTCTGATCACAAACTATTCTCCTTTTTTTCAGTTATCATCAAATATTGAGACACATACAGAGGGGAAGGGAGGAGGAAGAGGAGGAGGAAATAGAATAAAATATCTGTAAGTCTCTTACAGGAAAATGTAATTTTTCTCACTTCTCCAGGCAAACAGGATGACTTGGAACAACCGTTACATTTTTTCTTTTTTTTCACTATGCTCCTCTGCTCTCTACTCAAGAGGCTACCCTGTTAAATAAACTAAAATACAGAGTGATCGGATCTACTGATAAAACAAAGTAAGCTCTTTGTTGCTTCACCCAGCAAAGGTCACTTTCCCAGTGGCTTTCAGCTTCCCCAGGAAAGTCATAATACTTTCCAAAGCACTCACATTCCCCCGCCTAGGATGTGTACTCAAACAGAGGTGTCTCTAGGAACTTCATCTCCGGTTTCACTACTAATTGGAAAATACTGAGGGACAGAAGAAATCCCTCAGCAGTTTCCTCCTGGGACCCTGGTTGCGTACGTACACCAGCTCCTTAGTGAGATGCAAAGGATGACCACTGTTAACCTGGCTTCCTCTCAAGATCCTCCAGAAAGAATTGGATAAACCATAGGCTACCTTCTTGCTCTAAATAACCTCCTCTTCAATTTTCACATCAGCTTATTAAAGGTAGAGAATCCTCCAGCTATACCACCTGCTTTCTTTGTTTCTCCGTGTATCAGTAGGCCTGTCTACAACAGCATTACCAAATTGTGTGTCTATTTATTGTCTGTACTTCACCTTGTTCTTTAAAAACTGTGTTTAATATTTACCTACATTATTATTTGCCCTATGTTTTATCTTTTAAAAACATGGAACACCAATTAGAAAGACACATTAAATGTCAACAATTAGTAAATTTCAGAGAATCAAAAATAACAGTAGAAAAAGTAGGATTAAGCCAGGTGTGATGGATCACACCTGTAGTCCTAGCACTTTGGGAGGCAAAGGTGGGCAGGTCGCTTGAGCTCTGGAGCTCAAGGCCAGCCTGGGCAACATGTTGAAACCCATCTGGCACACACCTGTAGTCCCAACTACTCAGGAGCCTGACGTGAGAGGATCACTTGAGCCCAGGAGGTTGAGGCTGCGGTGAGCTGAGATCATGGAACAGCTCCCCAGCCTGGGTGACAGAGTGAGACACTGTCAAAAAAAGAGAAAAAAAATTAAGAAAGAGAGAGAGAAATAAGCAGGAAGGAAGGAAGAGAGAGAGAGAGAGAGAAGAAAGGCAGGAAGAAGGAAGGAAGGAAGGAAGGAAGGAAGGAAGGAAGGAAGGAAGGGAGGGAGGGGAAAGGAAGGAAGAAGGAAGGAAGGAAGGAAGAGAAAGAAAGAAAGAAAGAAAGAAAGAAAGAAAGAAAGAAAGAAAGAAAGAAAGAAAGAAAGAAAGGAAAGAAAGAAAGAAAGAAACACACAGACTAAGATCAAGCCATAGGTACAGGTAGGTAATTAGAAATTAGAATACCTGCCATGTAGGCCCTTATACTCTGTTAGAGGCAGGCCATAGATATCAACTTCTGAACCTCCTGGTGTTTAAGGACACATGCCTATAGGAAATATAGCACCTGAAATAAACTTCATAAAACTGTTTATTATGAATGTTTTCATATTGCAATGATGAAGGCAATGAACTAAATAGCCTAAAGAGTAAAAACATGTTATTATGGGATTCCTTATTAAATAATACATAACAGGCAAGAAGAAAAGCCAACAGCATAAGTTTTCATAATTCAACCAAGTATAGGGACATCAGTTGTTACTTGAGCTCCATCATGTGTCATTATTATAATGACAGAAGTAGCAGCATCAAGAACTAGATCCCCACAATACATCTGTCTGAGAGCCTGTATCATTCATTGCCAAATGTGATAAGAATGTGAAAGAATGCTACACTGATAATAGTTTTCATGGTGGAAAGAAAAGAAAAGCCATTAATCCAGAGCAAAAGTTAGAAATAATCAAGAATAAACGTATGTAGGTATGTTAAGGTTTTATGACTATACATTTACAGATGTTTTTTAAACTCTTATTATTGAAATTCCTACAGGAAAAATAGCTATAATTACAGATCTAAATTATCCTTTTTCCCAATACAATAATTATGCTTAAAACTCAATTTTTGATAGAAAAAGGCTTCTTAGAGTACAGCTACCACATTCTAGTACAGACTGTAAAATAAAGTAACCATATTTTCAAAGCAGAAATAACATATGGCTTGAAAAATAATATATGAATTTGGAAGTTTGTTTTTATAAAAGAGTACAATTTATGTACATATTAAATTACATTTGATTTTAGATTTAATGGCTTTTTGGAAAATTTTTATGAAGTCAGGATTGTTACAGGAAAATTTGGAATGTAGATTTTGCTAGAGGTGGATGCTCTTAAGGACTGTTTAAAAAAAAGGTCTCACCCAAGTTTTTCATAGGAATCTATTCCTGTTCACATTTTTTTGATATGTGGTAAGGGATTGTATTTGGAGTCAGGGCTTTGCCACTGGCTAGTAACCTTGTTCCAATCATTTAGCTTCTAGAAAGTTTTATCTCCACATATGTAAAATAAAGGAAGACCTGGTCCACTGCATGCCTTACACTTTTGTGATGCTGTGGACTTTTGAGAAGAACACTGCTCACTTGTCCACTTTCAGCCACAGTACAGCTGCTTAGCTACAAGAAACTACAGGCCCAGCTCCACTCCTAACATGGGATTCATATCTGTCCTAGTGGACTGGAAATCAAGTCTTTGTGCCAATGCAAACTCACATAACCATACTCTGATGGCCAGCACTTTGACCAGGTTAATTTAACCTGTCTAAATTTTCACCTTCTGCCTGCTCACTCCTCTAATTTTCACCTTCCCATGACCAGCTGGTATCATGGCTGTCTGTTTTGGTGACTGACAGCTAGGGACTCCAGCATGGTTTTTTATCTCCTAGGCATGGCTACTATCTGGGATGCTTGCTCTAATACCTTACACTGTCTTCTTGTAACACAGTTTCTTAAGGCTTGTGTCTCTATAGAAACATGTCAGAAAATGCTATCTTATTATCCCTACCCCCAAATAAATCTACAGTGGGGTCATTTCATTTATGAAAATACTCTGGAAACAAAGTTGATGCTCAGGCAACTGGTCTACCAGGGATAGCATGATTTTTTTTTTCTTCTCTGCAATACCTATGCACAAACTTGTATCTAGAAATCAACAATAAATGTGAAATGGAAGTCATTACCACTCACCGTCACAAATAATGTTTTCTTTCATTTTCCATATGGGCAACATAAAGGAGTGAAAATAACCATTGCTGTTATGCACTTGGTAGGTTTCCATCTAATAAAAAGCTTCATATCTGTAAAATGCCAATAACATTCAGTCTATCCTTCCTCATTTCCAACTTCGAGATCTCATTTATCCCCTACTGTTTTCAGGGGTTGACTGAACTTGTATCCACACCAAAACCTTCCATGCCCAAGATACTAGTGAGTTACAACCAATAAGTATTAAGAGAATTACAGAAATTTTGCATATTTACTTTGACAGGATACAAAGATACTATCATTAGAAAAGTGAGAAAAGTCTGTTTGAGTGGGAAGAAAAGCATTCTGTCAATAAGATCAGAACATGTACAATAGTCAGTTGGTTGCTTACGGAGTTTAAAATTTCCAAATGCTTTAGAGCCCAGTTATACTGCCTGGGAGTCTTCAGAGATGGGATACCCATCACTAATATTAATATTGATGGTAATAAAACCTGTCTCCTTCCAGCATTACCCTACACAAAAGAGTTCTTCTTGTGATAATGCAATGAAGCGCTAATCCTCTACAAAGGGCTCGGTGATATCAGAATACCATACGTTCCCTTTAATGTTATTCCATAATGACCATAAAGTGCCTAATTGTCAATAACCACTTAAGAAACAGGTTCTCTTGGGTCCTTAAGTGCTGGATAATGTGGTGCTGTCCTCAGTACCAGGTAAAAGGAAGATTTTTTTTAGCTCTAGGAACTTAGGTGAAATCCTGGAAACATTTGACAATGTTTCTTGTGTGCTGCTGGTGGATGGATCATAGATATAAAACATACATGATGGTTTATAACTAGGCTTTCCCATTGTATAGCAGCAAGTGCTAATCAATAAGTCAATAAAAACTTGATGGCAATTTTTCTTTGTTTTTTTTTTGTTTGTTTGTTTTTTGTTTTTTGTTTTTGAGATGGAGTCTCGCTCTATCGCCCAGGCTGGAGTGGGTGGCGCAATCTTGGCTCACTGCAAGCTCTGCCTCCTAGGTTCAAGCCATTCTCCTGCCTCAGCCTCTCGAGTAGCTGGGACTACAGGTGCCCGGCACCACACTCGGATAATTTTTTGTATTTTTAGCAGAGACGGGGTTTCACTGTGTTAGCCAGGATGGTCTCGATCTCCTGACCTCGTGATCCACCCGCCTCAGCCTCCCAAAGTGCTGGGATTACAGGCGTGAGCCACCCCGCCCGGCCCTTGATGGCAATTGCTAACTCAAGTGAGGGCCCATAACTCTCTCATCTGATATGACCTGCTATTAGTGGTAGATGTCACACATCTGAGGGTGAAAGGGAATATACCACATGATCTATCAGATTCAAAAAACAACATGATGAAAAGCCAAATTGAATTTAATAACATGTAATTAAGTAGATTTATGTATAAAGCCAGTGTGTGGGTTTAAATAACCCATCACTTGAAGACATACCAGTTATACAGAAGCTTATCTGAAACAAACCTGAAGTCTCCCTTTGACTGCAAGCTCAGTGTGACCTGAAAGTGTAACGGGGACAATAAAACAATGAAGCTCTTGAAAACACTCATGCATTAACAGAATTAGAGTATCCAGAAAGTGGGTTGTAAAAGTTCCACTGTACACTCTATTAGTCAAGCTACCCCTATAGCTATATTTGTTTATGGAAACTCTCTTCCACCCTAGAATCTAAAGGCATATATTCTTCCACACCACACAGCAAAATAAAACGCTGTTTCTCAACAGACTCTGGGGACTCCAACAGCAGGGAGGGAGGTGTCAGGGGCAAGGGTTGAAAAACTACCTATTGGGTACTATGTTCACTATTTGAGTGATGCTTTCAATAAAAGTCCAAACCACAGCATTATGCAATATACTCATGTAACAAACCTGCACACATACCCCCTAAATCTATTTTTAAAAACCCTGTTTGTATTTACATGTAACATTGATTTTCATTGGTCCATTAGTACATCTCTATTTAGCTTGACTTTTCCATGATTCCTATATTAAATGTGTTCTTCAGTAGAATTTTCCTTCTATTTATTTAAACTCTTTGTTCCAGCAAATGTCAAAAGCCAACTAAAGAGGCACTTTAAAGATGCTGCCAACTTCAGATCCTCTCTATCAAAAATGGAAGAAAGTCTAATTTAAGAAAGAGGGTATTTCCACTCACCCATTGTGCTGCTGATTATTGAACTGGAAGTAACCACAAGGTCTGCAAAACCTCTGAACTTCATTTTGAGGAAGAAGAAATGCTAGTCAAAATTTACTTAGAATCTATTAAATTTAAAGTATTATAATATAATGATTGAAAGAATGGACTTAAAAAAAATCTAGGTTTGAATCCTGGCTCTGCTACATGCAACTTAGCTTTGGCATGTTCCTTAACTTCTCCAAATCTGTGAGTAGTTTAAGGATTAAGTTATTAATATATAGTATATGTAAAGTGCTTAGCATAGTGACTCACATATGATAAAGGTACAATATAGTTTCACTATTATGTTGCTGCCATTGATATTATATTATTATTATTACTTATTCACTTGCATACTGTGAGACAAAGTTTAGACTTGAGATTTAGCAATTGTGTTTGTTACTCTAGTTCTGTATTTACTTACTAGTTACACCTAATGCAGTATTTCTAACAGGAGGAATGTAAATAAGCCACTCTTCAGGGGTAGAGCTCTTGACAATTTTACTGTCAGCTGGAAATTTGACCAGGAATGTTTCAGAGAGAAGCAAAATGAGCAATACAGCTTCTATTCAGATATCCAGAGTTAGGGAGGCGTAAGGTGATTATTCATTCATTCACAGCAGAAAGATGTATGGTAATGCAGAGACGAAAAATATCAGTGTCACTAGAGAAGCATCAATAACATGCTGAGGGATTTCAGCAGATACAGGAGGAAACCTGCTGGCCTGGGAATGTTTAATTTGTAATGGACTAAGAGAACAATCGAGTTTCCAAAATTGTACTTTGGCTACTTCCATTGCTGAATTTCCTTTCCAGCCACTGCCCCCTCGACCTCTGTTACAGTCTTTACATTTTTATGAGGTTGACTTTCAAACATTTATTCCAAAGAGCACCGTGTAGTTTTTAAAAGTAATCATGCAAGGAACAGTAATGGAAATCGTAAGCACAGGACTGGAGTTAAGTGAAGCATCAGCCAGTTAGGGGCTGTCTAGAGGAGGCCCACAGGAAGGATAATGGATCTGCAAACCACATCATGTGACATATGATTAAATGAAACAGAAACATTAATCCTGGAAAAGAGAAGGCTTAGGGAGGCCATGATTGATGTTTTGGTGTAGGTGACGTGATCTTGTGTGAAAGGAGATTAGATATCCTATGTAAATCCAGAAATGTACATTAGAACCATGGGAAAGAATGCCAGAAAAATAGATTTTATATTAATGTAAGGAACTAATTTATAATCGTTTGAGGTGTCCAACCAAGACTTCCTCCTGAAGATGTGGACTCCTTCCCACTAAAAGAAGTCATAGAGAGGGAGAAAATTCTGGCATGCGGGAGAGGGAGGACTGAATGAGACAACTTCCGCGGCCCCTTCACCATCTAAGAGTCCATGAAGTATCTAACACAACGAAACATTTCCTTTTTAGAGAAAACCTAATTAATTGTGGAAAGCTGTTAGGAAAACTTGATTGTGTTTTATATCTCCCATCTGCATATCTGTAAGCAAACCAAAAGCAGAAACTTACTGGCAGCTTCACCTTCTTTGGCGAGTTTAGTATTGTCAATACAGTAAAGCCTCTCAATTCTGCATGCAATTTGACATGAACAGAAGGAAGAAAAAAAATTAGAATTCCACCTTCAGAACCACCTAGGAGGGTGTCTGACATTGAACAGGTAATGAACAATGAACAGGACCATTTCCCCAGCAGCCTTTGTTTTCCCTGCCACCTGCAAGGGATGGACAGTTTTATTTCACAATGATGAACAGTGATGTCGGGCTGAGCCCTCCACTCTGTCTCAATTCACTCCCCACCTGGAGGGAAAGGGATAACAAATACAAGGTCTTATTTTGTTTTTGAAGGGTCTTTCAGGGACAGGAAAAGCAGCTGTTGTAGTTTAGAACAGACTTCAAAAGCAGATCAATAGAGAGCCAGACCCAGGTGCTCCTTAAAGGCATCGACTGCTACAATATTGTCATTTGCCTCCCTTAGCTTTCTCTACCACTTTCCTCTCAAGCCCTGCTAGACTACTGGTTTTGATAGAGTAACACTCTGTTGTGAGATGGGATTGTTTAAATGAGAGAAAGTTCACATGTGGAAATCTGCCATGGGGAATCTAGCAGTAACTAGATATGTCCCATTTGGGTCATTCCAATTTTTATTTCAAGTCTGTTAGAACAGATGTATTCAAAATGACATCTAGATAAGGCCAGGCGGATAAGAAGAGACTTCAGCTGGGACAAGAACTACTTTGTGAGTTAGAAAATTGGGTTCATGTTTCCATGTTTATAATCTTGGCTAAGTCTGTAACTGATATTCCTCATCTACCATATACAATGAGGACTGCTGTGAGGACTAAAAGGAAATAATATCTCTGGAAACACTATGTAAAATCCAAAACACTGTGTAAGTCTTAGATACGGCACTCTTTTACTACACATAATGGTCATGGTTTGACTGAAATCTCAACAATTTTACAGCGAATTAAGGGAATTCACTGTATTTTCTTATTTTCATTAAGGATATTAAAACTATTTATATAGATAATATACTCTATTAGCAAGATTATTAAAAAGCAATTTTTAGCTTTAGATATCTTCTCCAGTACAAAGCTTTTCTCTTTATTTTTGCATCTTAGTTGTCTCTTCTTAACAGAAAAATGATCCTTTGTATTTCCGTATGTTAATAAGTTTCTGTGAAAGTTAGATGACTTCCTTACAAATAGTAATTAATATTATTGTAATAGCAATTATAATATTATAGTTTTATAAACATTGGTGCTGTGATGTCAAACCAGATTAATATATTGATCTGTATATACATATATATAGTATATACATACATATATGTATATGTATATGTATATATGTATACTCTTGAAAGTATTTTAGTACTCCGTCGCTTCCCCAAAAAGGTAAACTAGATATTAAAACTCTACCTAGGATAAACAGATAATGGACAAGAAGAGTAAAAGCTTTTTCACAATTCTTAGCTTCTGCACTGAAGTTATGAAGATCGTGGTTAACTAAAAAGTTAAAAATCTTTTTCCCATAAAGAGTAATCAAGATTTCCACTAATCACAAGGCCGGTGGTTGAAATAGCAAGATTCATCCTCAGGCTTGCACTTTCTTGTTGCTGGAGAGCAATGGGGATGGGGAAACTCTCGGTACCACGGTCCTGGGATTGGCTGGGTCATAAAGATCATTCCACAACATGGGATTCTTTGATCATCTCAGTGATACTCCCCCCAGCCTCAAATGCTCAGGGCCTCTGAGCCAGTCCACCTCTCAGAAGAGGAAACCTAATATCCCGCAGGGGCCCATTCCACAGTGAAAGGCTGTTAGTTGGAAAGTTCTTTTTACCTTGCAGGGCAATACAGTGGGAAGGGACTATCCAGTAAAACTCCTCCAAAACAGTAGTAACCACTCAATTCATGAAGTTCTCTTTCTATACTGCAGTTTTCTAAAGTAACATAAAAATATCCATGGATTTTTCACTTTCCTTTGAATGCGGTGACCATTCCTTACCTTTACCAAAGAAATTGCAAGAAAAAAAATAGAAAAAAAAGAGCATCTCTTGGCAAAAGGTCCCATCAGTAATTCTAGTTATAGAATCCCTTCAAGAATCATTAATTGTGTTACACTACAGAATAAACCAAATATTTATTTCTGCAAGCATCATTAAATTATGACATATTAGAAGTCATTAACAATCAGCAGGCAAGGGCACTGGGTTCTGCCAGTTTAATGTTCTGAACAATCAAAAATAATATCCATGGGGCAATTAATTTCCTGCACATTGATTATTCCAATCTCCACACTAATAAGTGGGGCTAAACCAAGTAAAATCAAAACAGCACAGCAAAAAACTGCAGACTGATCCCACTTGTAAAGGGGAGTCTGTAACCTTGACAGATGAATTGTATTTCCTAAGTTATAGGGGGAGAGGAGGAAGTTATTCCAGCACCCTAAATGGTATCTTGAGGAGCTAGCATGATCCTTACATCCACTATACCCCTTTCACACACAGAGATACATGCACATTTCACAAATGTAAGAATTAAGATTCAACAGATTGTCCAAATCAAGCCCCTAGTAATAATGTCGGGACCAGGATCTTTGGATTAGTTCTATGTACTTTCCACTCTGTGGGCAATTCAATGGATGTTTAATGATTCTGGAATTGGAGAAAAAACAATTTCTATTAATTCAACAAGTTCCACAGCAAACTGCAAAACTGCCACTTTTCTCTGGGTTTGAGGAACTACTTATTCATAAAATATTAGTCAACCAATGTATCAAATCTGTTGTTAAAATGTTATCCAGAATTCTAACCCTTTCTTCCTTCATACATTCTTTAATCTGTCAGGCATTTAATAAATATCCACTAAATTTATCAAGTGATGTGTTAGGTCCTATTGGAAC